>NT_187658.1:190783-381566 GCF_000001405.40 Homo sapiens
ACCCTTAGCCAGTTCTCTGGACTGAGCCAGTTCAGAGAAGCAGAGTTCAATGATTGAAGGAAAGCTTACATGCCCTCGGTAAACAACACTGAAGATTCACCACAAAAATATTCAGGAAATATTCACTTGACCCTTTCTCAAGCACCTGTAGCCATTTCACCTGTAGCCATAACAGTACCCAGAGGAAAGGACATATATCCATACTCTCAGAATTTTAAACATGGGGCCTGAACTAACACTAATAATATTTGAGAACTAAAAAAAGACACTGTGTTTCACAGAATGGAGTGGGAGGCTTTGTTTTCGGTTGTTCGTTTTTTTTTGTTTTTAGAGACAGAGTCTTGTTTGGTTGCCCAGGCTAGAGTGCAGCCCAGGCTGGAGTGAAATGGCACAATCATAGCTTACTGCAGACTCAAATTCCTGGGCTAAACTGATCCCCCTGCCAGAACTTCCTGGGTAGTTGGAACTACAGGCACGCAGTACTACAATCAGTTTATTTTCATTAACAAACAGGGTCTTGCTGTCTTGCCCAGGCTGATCTGGAACTCCTGGCCTCAAGTGCTCCTCCCACCTCAGCCTCCCAAATTGTTTGGATTACAGGTGTGAGCCACCTCACCAGGCCTGGAGTATGAGTTTTTGAAAGTCAGATGCTGCATAAAGCTTTGGCTCATGTTCAACCTAAGGTGGATGTAATGGGTTTATATTTATTATCTCTTCCAGAATGTTAAATGAAATTAACAGTTTCAACAGCTAGCAGAACTCTCACATTGCTTCCAGACCTGTATATTAAGGGACATTACTGTAAGTAGGACCAAAAAGAGTCCTCGGTAATTCTCCTCTTCTGGCAAGAAAATGAGTAAAACATACTAACCGCATTGTCCAAGGAATAGAATTGGTCACCGACATGACAAAAAACTCAAAAGTTCCAGGAGGTGGTTGTCCATTTTTGATCCCTATTCTGTTAACCTATCTGGCTTCTGCCAAAGCCAGATGGATTATCAGATGAATGCACATTAGCATAAACTTAAATCACACTTGCAGATGCTCTCTAGGATGTGGTACCTTCACTGAGAAAACATGGTTTCTGGTTCTTTGTATGAGGCGTTTGATTTGGTGAATGCTTTTTAATCTACATCGATTGGGAGAGAAAATCAAAATGATTTGTTTTGGTGAGGTAAGAACAAAAGCACTGCTTCACTGTTTTATGTCATGGCTATGTCACTTCTGTTTTCAGTTTAATTGGCATTTTGCAAAACATCATGCTAACTCAATATATTAATAATATTGCATTAACTGTTACCCATAAGCAGGAAGTGATGAGTTTCTCAAATATAGTAAAATACCATAACATTGAACAGAACTAAATACCAGAAGAAGAAAGATGAACAAGAAGATTCAGTGACCTATAACATAGATGATGATTTTAGGGGTCCAGTGCTCCTAGTCCACATGCTGAAACACCCTTTTAAAGTAAACAGCATGTTGCTCTCTATACATCTATTTCCTGTCACTAAAAATGAGACACAATATTTGTTGGGCCTACTGGGATTTGGGAGCCAACGTATTCCACATTTGAGGATACTGCTCTGATTCACTAATGAAGTTGCCAAAGGCTACTGGTCTCAAGTGGAACTAGAACAAAAAATGCCTCTAGCAAATGTAGGCTCTAGTCCAAGCTGCTGTGCTCATTGTGACAGATAATCCAGCAGAATTCAAACCCGCTAGAGGCATGCATGCATAGTGGGCATTATAAGACTCTGTGCATGCTTCTCACAAGCCCACAGGAGAGGGGAGAGCAAACCCCTAGCCAATTAGTGCAAGACCATTCCCTCTTTAGCAGAGGAGTGCCCTCTGTCTCAAAAACAAAACAGCAGGTGCAGAAAATTAACCCATGTATAAAGCCCTTCTAAGCGTGTGCGTCTCTAAGCACAAGACCCTGTGCAACAGTGGAAATTATATGCTCATAGTCAGCCATGATTGGAGGGCATGAGCACATCTGAATGGCACAAGGAGTGGACTGCATGGGACACAAACATGTGCTTCCTCAGATTTACTTGACTGTCTCCTATTCCCCTGGTCAGCACCTTGCCTGACCCACATCACCCTTCCATTTGGGACTTGAATGGATCACCACATTGTGGGCATGAGGTCTGACTTTCATAACCTCCATCAAGGGATTGGATGATGGAAAGCAGAACAGCAGAGATGGTAGTTCTGCCTCAGGGAAACCCTGGCCAGTGGGAAATAGAAGACAGAAGACAGCTGAGCAGATATATTCTCCGTCCTCTGTTGCTTCCATGGGCTAATGCTGGCTGTGTTGTCCTCTCGCAGCCCTTCTGAAAAAGTCCTGGGAGCCAAGTGCATGCATCTGATAACCACCATGCTGTCTCTCTCACATCATTGTGAAGTGGTCGTCAGCAGAGTCATATCACACATTACAGCACATAGTGTCACATCTTCTCTTGACTCAATTTCCACATGTCCCAGCCATTTCTGCAGTGGACCTCCTTCCAAATAAATGTCATCACTTTAATATCAGACATTTGCTCTACTTCTAGACCCCTGATGATAAGATATTCATTCAGTGTTATAATTATTATTCATTCATTTTTCCATCAGTTTATAATATGGTGATTAAAGTGGTCATTTAGAAAGGATATTAAAAATACTAAATAAAGATTATATTTTAGTAAGATAGTTGGTAACTAAATTTTTAAATGAAATGTCATTTTTGTTTATATAATAACCAGCTAGAAATACCACAATATAAATATATCATTCGCAATAGAAAAGATATGTGCACTTATACAAAAATCTTTTATATGCTTAGTAAAAAGTATTGTAATAAATGCCATCTTTTTATTTTCCACTTTGTCTTTGTGTCACACATCTGATATAGCTGCATCACTGCTATATTATAGTGATATTTCCCCTAGAATTGTGGAATAGCCAAACTTTTGCTCTGAGAAATTCTTCTTCTTCTTGGATAATCCTGTAACTTCAATCTGAAACCAGAACAGAAATGTGCACCCAACTGTAGATTTTGTGATGTGTTACATTTTCATTGGTTCACCACCCCAATATAGTTCATATTCATTCATTCACCAATTAACTTGTTCATCAAAGTATCATTTTTCAATACCTATTCTATGTGCTATCTTTATGTCTTGGGAGTCTACAGTAAGCAAGATCTATATGATCTCTACTTTTATGGTATTTACATTGTACCAGGTAAGATATATGATAAACAAACAAATCAGATGTGGAGATGATTTATCTTAAGGTTTAGATAATATTGTTAAAATTGCATAACACCAGAAATTAATACAGTCACACAGAATTTAGCTGTTGAACTAGGTTATACATTTTCTTCTTGTAATAGAACTTGCTATTAGTGAATATGTCAACACACTTTCTCTCATTTCATTATTTACACCAAGATTATAATAAAACATATCTTTAAGACATTTCCTATCATTAATATATAGATTTCATAGATGCCATAGTTTCTATACCCTCTTTAGATTGAGCTTCTTTTTAAAGTAAGGAAAATTTGAGCTTTTTGAGGAATTTTAAGGATGGAAGATAAAGGAGGAAATTGACAATTCAGGAGCTCAGAGGTGGCTTAGACAAAAAACTGAAATATATAACATCAGATCTCAACTTCAAAAAGGTTTTTGTTTAATTCAAAAACTGGAAGAGATGACTTTTCTAATTGCGTATGGAAACTTATAACAGCACTGAAAAGAGCTCATGATCATGTTTCTTCATCCTTTTTATAGAAATGATTTTTTCTAAGCTATTAACATACTATATTAAATATAATATTCCTCAGTATTGCTTTTGATACACATAAAAATGTACACTAGATATATTTTTCACCCTTGAATTTTATTTTGTGCATTGTTATCTAACAATAATTGTATTTGCTTTATATTAAACATAAAATAAGAATTCATCATGAATGTCTATAATCCCAGCACTTTGGGAGGCTGAGGCAGTGGATCACTTGAGGTCAAGAGTTCGAGACCAGCCTGGCCAGCATGGTGAAACCCCATCTCTACTAAAAAAAAAAAGAAAAATACAAAAAATTAGCCACGTGTGGTAGCGCATGCCTGGAGTCCCAGCCACTCAGGAGGCTGACGCATGGAAATCACTTGAACCCCAGAGGTGAACGTTGTGGTGAGCCAAGATTGTGCTACTGCATTCCAGCCTGGACAACAGGGCAAGACTCCATCTCAAAAAAAAGAAAAAAAGAATTCATGATTAAAAAAAAAACAAAAAAACCTACCCCAAAGACACATTCTCATCGATTTAGAATTAAATGTCCTTACCATCCAAAAAATTAGAGGTTCAAACAATGATAGTTAAACAGTTAAACACACTATGGTACATATACGTGATACAAATTACAACGAAAAACAGCAATGATTTTACAACGAAAAACAGCAATGATTTTCTGATATAAGCTGTCAGTTCTTAATTATAAATAGAGATCATAAATTCCTCAAATGAAATATCATATAAAAAAATGTGTGAAATACACATGGGTTCATAATTCTGAGAAATTTCTTATCCTACTTTGGTATAACTGAACAGTTTATATGAAAAGTTGATTAAAGGTATGTTATGGTAAATATTAAATTTTCATATACATTCAGACATACACACACACGCAAATGTATATTATATATATATACTTGTATATAATAAACTTAGGTAAAAGACTTTTCTATGTCAACTTTTGGAAATTACTCAAATACATAGACTACGGAAAAACTTGTGGGAAATATAAAATGTTCCAGACACCATCAATTTGTTTTCTGCTAGAAAACACACAATGCACCTCTTGTGAATCTATGGAGTTGACTGGTTCTGTCCTTTTGCCCAGCAAGTCACCTGCCACAAAACTGAAAGAAAGGTCTGCTTTAGCGTCTTGTTCCCCCAAATCAGAATGAATGAGTGGAATGATGGATATATGATTCCAAAAGCTTGGCAAAGCATTAAGACAATTTCTTTTGGTCGCATCTTAAAATTCCAAAACGATATGATTAGACACAGAAAGTAAATGGCAAGTAATATGAGGAAGGAGGTCACAGTTTGCAGAGCTTTTATGTGGATCTTGGTGCTGGGATCTTGAGATCCTTTGCCATGGAGCTGCATCTTCTTCAGATGTTTACACAGAGAGTAGATTAACAGCAGAAAAGATATCAGGGTCAGAGTGAATGGTATCAAGTTTGCTAGCATGGCTACAGTCAAGTTGGAAAGGTGCATTGCATTCCTCAGTTTGATCTTCCAAGTTACGTTTCCTTCACATTCTTCTGTCCACACATTTATATACGTGTGTTTCATCACAAGGTGACAAACCAAAAAGAACAAAGACCCCAACACTATCACCAGAACTACACTCTTAGCCTTCCTTTTTAAGTGATGAAAAATAAGTCTGGAGAAATTGACGATCTTGAGCAAATAAAATATGCTGAGGCTAGTAGCAAGCCAGATGCTGAAATGATTGGTTACTGCCCAGGCATTAGAAATAAAAATTATTACTTCTAAATTAGATGAAGTTGGATTCAACACAGTTGAATACCAATGTAATAATATTACCCAGAGCAAACCAACTCTGGAGACTGCCAGAGCAGCAATAATTTGATCAGCTGAGGAGATCTTTTGTCTCTTGACCCAGGCAATGAAATTTATCAGTGCTATAAAGCCATTGGCAAAATTTCCAAGAATAAATGCAACCACTACTAGAATGGAAAAAACAATGTGTAGAAAACTCATCATGTCTAAACAAAAAAGCAAGTAAAAAATTCAGGCCTAATGTCACTGATGGTGACTCCTCTGATATTCAAGACTTTAAATTAAATATGCACTTGATTCCTGAATGTTCAATAACATTCTTTATACTTTTAAATTCTGTGAACAATGTCAACAGAAAAGCACCAGCTTAAACTAATGAATGAGTTCAATGCTGCCTTTATGGGAAATACTGTTAGTCCCAAAACAACTCAAATTAATTCTTATTCATAAAGTCTCTATTCTTGCTATAGGCTGAAATTTTTCATACTGATGTTGAAGGGAAAGCTGAATTCTCATTTGCTAGCATTCAAATAAAGACATATCCTCTTTCATTGCTTTGCAATTTTTTCCTTGTTTCACCTTTCCATAATTTGTGTTCAGCCCTTCAGTTGTTGGGGAAATTTTAATACCCAGTACATAGATGACACAAAAAATATATTGTTAAAAGAGCCTGGTGAAATCTAGGATCAAAATCACTATGGATTTATTTTTAAAGCCAGATTTAAATACACAGAATCTAAACTTTTTATCAAAATCACCTAAGATTTTCTTGGAAACCACAGGAAAGCCAATACTCCTTATAATTTGGTTGCTGTTAACCAATACTTCTATATGGCATCACTATTAACAAGCTCATAAACACACACACAGACACACACACACTTTCACTCTTCAAGGATGAAAGGAATTGCTTTCTTGTAACTTATGACATGGAAAATGAGTTTCCAGGAGCTCGTCCTGGTGGAATTAGTCCTATTTTTCCCATGCCAGATTTTCAGCCAATGAATAATATTCATGAAACATATCTCTCATGCTTAGGCTTTTGGTAATGCTACCTGCAAGCTTGTAAACATTCCTGAGTACCAGACCTTTGTCACATAATTTTGCAGTGTCCTCCCACCACAGGCATAGTGACAACCTTGCACTAGGGCTCTGAGTTCGATCATGTAATTTGCTTTGATGAACAGAAAATTACTACACTTTACATCGAAATTTGAGATGACCTCCACATTAGGCTTTCTTGTTCCTTTCCGGTTTATAATGAGAACATGTCCACACTAACACACTGTTCCCAGAATAAGAATGAGTAACTCATGGAATCATATGGCCCCTGCCTGATCCAGCCTTAAATCGGCCAAACTCTAACTAGATCCAAGAGGCAAAACTTGGACCATCTCAAATCACCAGAGCCATCCACCAAACCCCAGCTTAAGAAAACAGAATCCAAAAACATGTGAGATATAAATATCTAATGTGGTTTTGGAGAAGTTTCTTTTGCAGAAAAAGCTAAGTGATATAGGTACTCTGCTAATCCAAGAGTTTGAGAAATATGTGCGCCCTTGTTGTGTCAGAAATTCAGGAGCCAAAGGAAAAATAGGTTGGAAATATCAAAGTTTTTGTAATATGAGGTGAATATCTAAAACTAGAAGAAAACTTTTGGAAAGATCTGGAGGCTGTAGGTAACAGCATCTCAAATTTCTCCATTTTGCAACTAAAATAAGAATTCACTTTAGCTCTCTTGAGTTGTATAAGAATGTACGTAAATGGTGGATTTTCCCCCTAGGTATATAATGAGCAGAGCAATTAATAATTTTTACGTGACATTTCTCCCAATTTGTAATTTTTTAAATAAAATTATAATGCACACTTAGAAATGGGCCAAAACAAAAATAGGTAAGAGCAATGTATCATAAACACTTATGTAACCATCATGCAGGATAAGACATGGAACACTGCAAACAGACTAGGTCCACTTCCAGGCCACTTTCCAAGCCCCTAAACCTTTATTCACATCTCCTGAGATAAGCAATATTCATAATCTATGATGATCATTTGCTTGAATTTCTTTATACTTTACCAGCTAGGTTCACAACCCTAAACTCCACAGCTTGGTCTGTCCTGCTTTGAACTGTGTATAGGTGCAGTCCTGTGTGTTCTTCTTGTTCATGGCTTCTTGCACTAGATATCATGTTTCTGAAATTTAGTTACATAGTTGCATGTACATGTGATTCATTTCTTTTCACCTCTATATACTGTTCCACTGTATGGATTTACTGTAATCTTTCATATCATTCAATCATCCTTAGTTAATATATATTTGGGCAGTCTATTTTTGAGCTATTATGAATAATACTACTATCAGCATTATTTCACATATCATTTGATGCAATTCCTATTATGGGGTCATTAAATGTGGTGTTCAAATTATCCTCACAGACATAGAAAAGTGCAAAAAATAATTTATCTAAATTTGTTCCTGTCACCTTTACCTCCAGTCTCTTTATCGCTATTTGCATATATCTTATCAATAATATATTTAACTCAGCAAGACGCTATTATTTTATTCAGTCAACATTCATTTAGAATTATGCACATATTTATCATTTCTGTTAATTTTTATTCCTTCTTGCATGCTTAACCTTGTATTTTCAATATTTTTTATCTGAAAAATATCATTTGGATTTCTGTTTATGAAGGTCCTCTATTCTTTTGAAACACACTAAAGACATGATTCCATTGAATTCTACTTTCCATTTTTCTGTTGAAAATCAGGTTGTCATTTAGAAAGTTGTTCCTTTTAAAATAATCTATCTTTTCCTCTGGCTACTTTTCAGATTTTCTACTGGTCTTTGATGTCTTGTGACATTTTATGTTAATTTGTTTTTAGTTATCTTGTCTGACCTTTGATGGTTACTAAAAATATATGGATTAATACATTTTATCACTTTTGGGAAAATCTCCACAACATTGATTCTGCCCTATTTTATCCCTTTTAATCTTCCAGAAATCCAGAAGTATGTTAGATGCTCTGATTGTAGCATCAATGCCTCTTATCCTCTTAGCTTGGCATTCTTTGTCTTGTGGTCTCTTTAGGCTTCTTTCTTTATAGTTGTCTTCCAATTCACTAATTCTCTCTTCTATGTCTAACTGGTTGTTAACTCTGTCTATTGGATTCTCAATATTGATTATTTATTTTTTGCTATTATTGTTTTAGTAGCAGAAATTATATTTTGTTCTCCTTCTATAAATCATTATCTATGGAGAAGCAGAACAAAGCACTCTTACCACCAAGTTTTTTAAAAAAAGTTGGGTTCTTTGTTCAGTTGGTTGGCTTTGTTTTTTTGTTTTTCGTATGCTTGACATGAAAATGCTAACAATTTTCTTCTTTTCCCAAGACTTTGGTCACAAAATAGAATAAAAGCTTGGTCTACACATCCTTCCGCAAGTTGGAAGAACCTGGAAATTGATGTGATGTTAGTAGCTTTTTTTTTTAGGGGGGGATAGCAGCTTGTCTGTTGATGAGCCTTCACCACAAACTCTCCCCACAGGGAAATTCAATGAGCTGTGCTGGATCTCAAGATGCCATTCCAATAAATAAATTATAGCACCTCAACCCTAGCTACACCATTCTATTTTACAAATTAAATTTTACTCTTTTTTTATTAGCAGAAGTGGAGCTCTGTACCTTCAAACTTCTTCACTATCAGGTGAGATATAGAAGATGTGAGGGCTTACTTCTATTTGATTTATTTAGTCCTAAAATTCTCACTTTAAATGTGCCAGCAACCTGTGTGGGCTGATGACTTGGGGCAGGATGGGAGAATGCCAGGGGATAGATGCACAAAGGACTGGACACCTCCTTGCCTCCTCCCATCCTCCTCAAAACTTCAGCACAACTCTGAAGCAAAGTGTGCTTGTGGGAGAACCCAGAGTTGCTTAAGATTTAATTTCTGCCATCAGGTTAATGGAGCACCTAGGGAAATTAAGCTGAGTTTTAAAAATATCCAGAAAGTTAAATTTGTTGTACATGTGAGTTTCTGAACTGCGATTAGGCTTTACTTTACCTGGCATCAGGGAGTGTTATAAATCAATTATTTAAATATTCATGTAAGGTGTAAAAAGGAGTAGAAGTACACGTATCAAATTTCCATAAATAAACTTTGCAATATAAACGTAATTTATACTATTAATTCTTTGTCAATAAAATGTGGAAAGGTTAAAAAATAAATAAAATAAAACCTTCACTTTAGAAGTAAGAGCTTGATCATGAAGTGGCTTATTTATCTTTCTAATTAAGGAATTTTATTAACACCGCAACTAAATCTTTCCTATAGTGTTCCTAAGATCAGTTTAAGGTTATCTATAATGATTTGCTTAAGCAATGTATTTTAAACTAAACTATACTTAAAAATGTATTTGGTTCAACTTGAAATTTTCCATTTTCTAATCTAACTTTCCCATAATAATAATCTTTTAAACATTTATTAGACATTATCCAAATTATTTATGTAAACATTTCAAAAATAAATCATTTAATGAGATAGATATAGATGATGATTGGTGATGATGATAATGTCAGTTAAAAGGGGCCATGCTCTTCTATAAATGTGACTTCAATCATGTTTTCTAAGTGCTGCGTTTCAGGGTGATGGGCTCATGAACTTGTTTCTTATATTATTCTCAGCATCAGGCACAGACAAAGATCCTCAGACAGTATTTCATTAAGAATAAGTTAAAACCAATGTATTTCCAATGATTTACTGGCTATTTTTTTTTCTTTTACCACATTCTGAAAATCATGACAAAAGTGCCCTACAACAAAGAGTATTCTCCTTTGGGCTGTTTAATTTTCACTGTACTTTCATATGAACTTCATATATACAAATCCTCTATACAATTATATAGCATACAAACTGTATTTTATCTTTTAATAGTATCATTAGCAGGCAAAATTCTCTCAACTGCTTATTTACAATCTCAGCTACTGTCACTAAATCTGGGTTATTTTACTATAGCAGTCAAAGTAATACTACATATACACAAGCACACTCAAAGATTACACTAAATATGTTTTATAGCTTAACAGTTATCTTTCTATGTTTTCTTCTCTAATACAGTTGAAAAATTTATAGTAACAAAATATTTTCCCCAACACATATGCTGTGCACATGCATAGTATTGTGATCTTTGAATGGGAACAACATGAGTATAATTATTTCATTTAGGGATAAATGTAGCAAAAATTGTCCTATACACTTAATATCTATAGTCCTACATACTTTAATATTTGTACCTTATGAAAAATTCCCTAATTGCTGCCAATTTGAAACGTGTATCATGAATAATTAAATTGGAAACAAGAAAAAAGTCTATTGCAATATAGTTGTTCAAAATCTATTGTTTCAAATTAAGATTAGCATTAAGAATGTGGATGTACACTTCCTGCTTATATCTTTCTTTTTTAAATTAATTTTTAAAAGTATAAAATTTTATCCCTATTTCTTACTACTATAATGCTGTATTCTTTATTCAGCAAAACTCTAATTACGATGGTACATGTAAGAATATATTGTTTCAGCCTAGTTTTATATTCATTAATTTACTTAATATTTCTGCTTTTAAAATATTTTCATTATTCGGGAACCTAACATATGTAGGGAAAGCAATAAAACCTAAATGCACAGTAAAAGGAAAAAAGAATGTAACATTAACACTCATATTCCACACTTTCGTCAAAAAGTAGAATTTGCCAGCAATGAAGACATTCCCCATATATGCTTTCTTGTTGATATGATTTCCCTTTTGTTTCCTCCCTCCCAAGTATCCCAGTTATGATAATCACTTATATGTTTCGCTTTACAGTTTTGCCACCAATGTAATAAATTATAAGAATTTATTTCAAATTATAAGAATTATAAAAACTTAAAATAAAATTTCTTTTATGAGAAGTTATAATTTCTTTTATAAAATGTTATAATTTCTTTGGTAAGGAGTTATAAGAATTTATAATTTCTTTTATAAGCAATTATAAGAATTTATTTGCAAAAATACAAAAATATTCTTGCAAATTTCATATAAATGTGATTATATTGAATGTTTTTGATGTTAATAATTACTATTATATCTGTATATATTACTATGCTATCCATGTAAATCAAATTTATTCACTTTCCTTTTCATATATATTCTTTGTAAACATGTCCCTCTAGTTTGTTCATTTTGATTGCTGTATAGCATTCTGTAAGTATGTCATAATTTATTTATCCATTTTATTACTGATGGTCATTTGGGAGACTTCTCAACTTTAGCTATTAAAACTCAGCGATATATACTTGTATATGTATTCTGATATGAGTGCAAATCCTGGGTCTTAGGATGTGATCCTTCATCTTATTCAAATAATGTCACACTCAGACAAAGTAATTGCACTAATTTATAATCCTAGGAGCAGTGTATGAAAATTCCCACTGCTTCATATGCTCTCCAAAATTAGTAGAGTAATTTTTGCACTTTCATATTTATATAAAATATAATTAAACTTGGCCAGGCACGGTGGCTCACGCCTGTAATCCCAGCACTTTGGGAAGCCAAGGTGGGTGAATAACCTCAGGTATGGAGTTCAAGGCCAGCCTGGCCAAGATGGTGAAAAAATACTAAAATACAAAAAATACTAAAAATACAAAAATTAGCCTGGTGTGGTGATGCACACCTGTAATCCCAGCTATTCAGGAGGCTGAGGCAGGAGAATTGAGTGAACCCGGAGGCGGAGGTTGCGGTGAGCTGAGATCACACCACTGCACTCCAACCTAGACCACGAAGTGAGACTGTCTCAAAAATAAATAAAATATTATTAAACTTAACATTTTACAAACCTTTTTCTATTATAATTCAGAATGCATCTTTAGTTGAAAAATTACATCACTCTTAATTCTATGACTATAATTTCATGCACATTTATTAGGGATTAATTATATATTTCATACATTTATTTGTTCATATTTCATTATTAATTTTTCTAATTTTTTCTTGAAGTTTCAAATACTTTTTTGTTATGAACAAGTGTAATTATACTGGAGATATTTCCTTTAATCAATCATTACGTCAAATGACTTTGAGAAAATATGATTAGTTCATGGCATATTGTAGGGGAAATTTCAGGATTGTTTAACAACTCCTAAAAGGAAACAAAGAAAAAATATTAAAATATAAAAATAGTCTATAAGTTTAATAATAGCTGTCCATGGTAAAACACAAATTCTACCATTACCAGTATGGAAAACATGATTGGTATCAACATATCATGTCTGAATTCTTTTTAAGGCAGGCCTAATATCATTGGATAAGATTCCCTTTAAGGTCCTGACATTAAATTCTATGTGCACCTGATTTCTGAATGTGCATTAACGCTCTTGTTCTTTTTAAATTCTCTGACCAGTGTCAAACAGGAAAGCACCAGGGCATGCTAATGAATGAATTCAATGCTGTCTTTATGGAAAACATGATAATTTCTAAAACAGTTCAAATTAACTTCTATTCAAACACTATGTCCTGGCTATAAGATGAAATTTTTCATACTGATGTTGAAGTGAAAAATGAGTTCTCATTTGCTAGCATGCAAATAAAGACATATTCTGTTTCCTTGTTTTGTAGTACTTTTCCTTGTTTAACCTCTCCATAATTTGTGTTCAGCAATGTCAGTTGTTAGGGAAATTTTAAAAAGCAACACATAGTTCCTACATTGGATATCTAAATTGTTAAAAGGAACTTTGTTGTAACTAGAATCATGACCACTGTGGATTGATTTTTTAAATGTCAGATTTATGTAAACAGAATCCAAAGTTTTCTTATCAAAAGAATCCAAGGTTTTCTTGGAAAGTGCAAAAAGGCCAATACTCTTTAAAATCTGCTTGCTGCTAATATGTTTGTATAAGTCTATTGTTAACAAGCTCATTAACACAAACACACACATGCATACACGCCCCTCATGGATGGGAGGAATTATTGTGCTGTAATTTCCAAAATGGAAAACCAATTTCAGGCAAGTCGTCCAGGTTGAAATAGCCCTATTTTCCCTCTCACCCTTTTCAGTCAATTTTCAATATTTATAAACTTATCTCTCGTGCTTAAGCTTTTGAATAAGTTATTCTCTCGAATCTAGCTAATATTTAAATATGAATTGTTTAATTAAAATATTCAGCAATTTTTAAAATATTCCTTGGGCACTTATTAAAAAATATGTATTTTCCACTGAAGACTCTAGACTTCCCTTGGTATGAATATTCACTTTTATTTTTCTGTTTAATTTATTTTTGATTATGCTATTAAGAAGAATAGATGTTAGTATTAGTCTCCAATCTTGTTTTTTACTTCTTTTTCAGGTTTTTACAGTATAATTGTTTCTAAGAGATCTTGGAGTCAGACTGCCAAGAGAGGAAACCAGTTTTTCTGCTTCATATAGCGACGATTCTGAGACTCCATTTCACAACTGCTCTCTGCCTCAGTATGATCACCAAAAAACACAGATGATAATATTATCTTTGGGTAGTCTTTGTGAGGAGTTAGTATAGCATTTGTATAACTGCTTTCCATTTTACCTGTCTGGGACAGGAAAAAACAAAGATGGTTAGTTACTGATTTGATCCTGTGTTACTAGATATTTAGAAGGTGCCAGTGAAAACTTCCATTTCTTTTCTCCTTTTCTTTTTTTTTTTTTTTTTTTCTGAGACAGGCTCTTGCTCTCTCACCCAAGCTGGAGTGCAGTGGCACAATCATACCTCGCCGTAGTCTTGAACTCCTGGACACAAGTGATACTCTTGCCTTCCTGCCTCAGCTTGCCAAGTAACTGGAACTACAGGCATGCACCACCAAGCCTGCTAATTTTAACATTTTTGTGGAGACAAATTTCCAAGAACGAATGCAAACACACAGAGTTGACAAAATGATAAGTAGAAATTTTAACATGTCTGAAGAGACAAAAAGAAAGGAAAAATGCAGGCCTAATAACACAGATTGTGATTCCTTTAATATCTAGACCTTAAATTGGATATACACTTCATTCCTAAATGTGTAATAATATTCTTTGTGCTTCTAAATTATTTGACTAATGTCAACAGAAAAGCACCAGCATATGCTAATGGATGAGTTCAATGCTGCATTTATGGAAAATTTTCTTATTCCCAAAATAGCTGAAATTGAATCCTATTCCACTGTCTGTTCTTGCTATACGCTGAAATTTTTAAAACTGATGTTGAAGTGAAAGGTGAATTCCCGTTTGCTAGTATGCAAAAAAAGACATATTCTTTTTCATTGTTTTGCAATGTTTTTCCTTGTTTAACCTCTCCATAATTTGTATTCAGCATTTTCAGTTGTTTCATAGGGAAATTTTAAAACCCAATACATATGTCATACAGTAAATGTCTAAACTGTTAAAAGAGCTTGGTCATACCTAGGATCGTATAAATATGGATTTATTTTTTAATGCTAGATTTAAATATACAGAACCCAAACCTTTTATCAAAATCATCCAAGGTTTTCTTGGGAACCACAAGAAGGCCAATACGCCTTAAAATCAGGTTGCTGCTAACCAATACTTTTATATGACTTTATTGTTAACAAGCTCATAAACACAAAAACACACACTTAAACCCATTGGGGTTGGAAGGAATTATTTTCTTTTAATTTAAAAAAATGAAAAAATGAGTTTCCAGAAGGTCATCCAGGTGGAATTAGTTCTGTTTTCCCACTCAGGGTTTTCAGACCAGAATAATATTTATCAAACATATTTCTCATGCTTAGGCCTTTGGTAAAGTTACTCTCAAGTCTATTTAATGTTTAAATATTAATTATTTAATTAAACTATTCAGCTGTTTTGTAAATACTCTTGACTCCCTCATCCTTTGATATATTATCTTGCAGTGTCCTCCTGCCATAGGCAGGGTGACTACCTTGACCTTGGAATCTGAGCTCACTCATGTAATTTGCTTTGATGAACTGGAAATTAGTAAATTTTGTATACGTCTTTGAGATGGCTTCCACATTGGAGTTTCTTGCTCTTCTCCATTTACCACAAGCACATCCCCACACTAGTACACCATTCCCAGAAGCAGAATGAGAATGAGATCCCCCCCTCCAGATGTAGCCTAAATTGGCCAAACTCTAACTTCAAGATGCAGAACATGGCCCATCTCAAATTACCAGAGTGATCCACCCAAACCCAGCTTAGGAAAATGGAATCTAAAGACATGTGAGATATAAATATCTAATGTAGTTTTGGAGAAGTTTCTTTTTAAAATGATGCTAAATGATAGAAATACTTTGCTAAGCCAAGAGAGTGGGAAATATGTCTACCCTTGTTGTGTCAAGAATCCTGAAGCCAAGGGAAAAATAGATGAGGAATATCAAAGTTTTGTCATGTGAGGTGCATAATTAAAGCTGAAAGAAAAAAACTGAAATAAAGCTACGGAAAAATACGGGGTTGGCAGGTGACATGATGTCAAATTTCTACAAGTTGTAACTAAAATAAGAAAGTTTCTACTTCAACTCTCTAGAGTTGTATAAGAATGCATATAAGTAGTTTCTTTTCCCCTTAGTACGTAATGAGAAGATTAATAATTTCTATGAGACATTTCTCCTAATTCAAAATTTTTATATTAAAATTATAATGCATACATAGAAATGTGCCAAAACAAAACTGGAAAACTGGGAAATAGAGCAATGTATCATAAACAGTCGAGTAACCATCATGTAGGGCAAGACAAGGAACACTGCAAACAGCCTAGTTCCACCTCCATGACACTTTCCAAGCCTCTATACCTTTCTTCATATCTCCTGAGGTAAGCAATATCCATTATTTGTGATGATCATTTCCTTGATTTTCTTTATACTTTATCAACAAGGTATGCAACCCTAAACTCAATAGCTTGGTTTGGCCTGCTTTGAACTGTGTATAGGTGCAATCCTATATGTTCTTATTCATGGCTTCCTGGACTTAACATTATGAATCTGAAATTTAATCAGACAGATGCATGTACATGTGATTTATTTCTTTTCATTTCTCTATATTGTTTAATTTTATGAATTTACTATAATTATCTATCCTTAGTTGATATATACTTGGACAGCTTCTTTTATGAACTATTATGAATAATGCTACTATGAGCATTCTTTCATATACATTTGCTACAATTCCTTTGCATATATGCCTAGGTATAGAATTATAGGGTCCTTGATTAAGATGTACAAATTCTGCCCACAGACATAGAAAAGTCCAAAAAATACTTTAACTAAATTTATTTCTGTAACTCCAGTCTCTTTATTACTATTTGCATATATCTTATCAATTACACCTTTAGTCCAACAAGAAGATACTATTATTTTAGATGGTAAACATTCACTTATAATTATGTACATATTTATCATTTTCATTAATTTTTATTCCTTCTTGCATGCTCAATTTTGTATTTTTGGTAGTTTATATTTTATCTGAAAAAATATCATTTTTAATTTCTGTCTATAAAAGTCTACTGTTCCTTGGAAACACACTGAAGATATGATTCCATTGAATTCCCGCTTTCATATTTTCTGTTGAAAATCAGTTTGTTATTTAGAATGTGGCTCTTTTTAACATAATCTACCTTTCACCTCTAGCTACTTTTCAGATTTTCTATTGGTCTTTGATGTCCTGTGTCATTTTATTTTAAATTTTTTAGTTATCTTGTCCAAAATTTGATGGCTCCTAAATATATAGAGATGGAAATATATACATTTCATCATTTTTGGAAAAATTTCCCAAACATTGCTTTTGCCCCATTTCTCATCTCTAATCCTCCAGAACTCCAGAAGTATGTTAGATATTCTGACCATAGCGTCAGTGTCTCTTACCCTCCAGCCTTGTATTTTTCTGGAGTTGTTAGTACTCTAGCCATGAAAATAGTAACAATTTTCTTCTATTCCCAACTCTGGTCAGATAATAGAATAAAAGCTTGGTCTAGCCATGTTCCTGCAATTTTAAAGAAACCGGATATTAATTTGATGTGAGTAGCTTTTTCTGGAAAACAGCTTGTCTGTTGCTGGGTCCTCACACAAACTCTCCTCATATGGAAATTCAATAAGCAGCTTTGGATCTCAAAATGCAATTCCAATAAATAAAAAATAGTCCCTAAACCACAACTACATCATTCTATTTTATGAACTAATTTTTACTTTGTTTATGTTGTAGAAATGGGGCTCTGTGACTTTGAACTCCATCATTACCCAAGCGAGATAGAGAAGATGTGAGGGCTTACTTCTGTTTGATTTATTTAATCTAAAATCCTCTCTTTAGGAATAAGAGCTTGATCATGAAACAGTTTAATTGCCTTTCTAATTAAGGAATTTTATTTACACTAAAATCAAACTCTTTCTTATAGCCTTCAATGGATTAGTTTAAGGTCATCTACAATTACTTGCTTAAGCAATGCATTTTAAACTAAACTTCACTTAATTTCTAAATCTAAATGTATTCAGCTTGACTTGAGCTTTGCTTTCACTAATGCAAATTTCCCAAAATGATAATCTTTTAAAAATGTCTTAGACATTATCAAAATCATGTACAATGAAAAATAAATCATTTAATGAGATAGGTGTAGATGATTGATGATGATGTTGATGTCAGCTAAAAGGGACTATTTTATTCTGTAAATGTGACTTCAATCATGTTTCCTAAGTGCTGGAATTCAGGGCAATGGGAGAACACTATTTTAATTTTTCTTCATGGCCTTATAATTCTTATATTATTCTCAGTATCAGGTCTAGACAAACACCCTCAGGTAATATTTCATCAAGAATAACTTAAAACCAACATATTCCCAATGATTTACTTGATATTGTTTCATTTTACCACATTCTAAAGTGTGGTACAATAAAAAATACTTCGCCTTAATCAGGTAATGCCATATTCAGCCAAAGTAATTGTACTTTATAATCCTAAGAGTAGTGTATGAAAATTTCTATTGTGTCATATCCTTTCCAAAATTAGTAACATCAGATTAAATTTTACACTGATATTTACATACACTATTATTAAAGTTAACATTTTAGAAACATTTTTCTATTATAATTCAGAATGTATTTTTAGTTCAAAAAATTATGTTGCTTTTTAATTACATGACTGATTTCATGCACATTTATTAAGAATGAATTATATATTCCATATATTTATTCATATTTCTTTATTAATTTCTCTATTTTTTCTTGAAGTTTCAAATACTCTTGTTATGAGCAGGTGTAATTATACTACACATATTTCTTTAATCAATCATTATGTCAAATGAATTTGAGAAATTATGATTAGTTTGTAGCATATTGTAAGGGAAATTTCAGGATTGTTTAACAACTCCTAAAAGAACTCAAAGGAAAAAAATGTTAAAATGTAAAAGTAGTCTATAAGTTTAACGTAGGTGTCCACAGGAAAAAATAAATTCTACCATTACTAGCACAAAAAAAGATTGGTAATAAACCTACCATGTCTGAATTTTTTTAAGGCAGGCGTATTATCACTGGACAAGATTCTCTGTAAGGTCCTGACCTTAAATTCTATGTGCACCTGATTTCTGAATGTGCAGTAATGTTCTTTTTCCTTTTACATTCTCTGACCAGTGTCAAACAGGAAAGCACCAGGGTGTGCTAATGGATGAGTTTGAGGCTGTCTTTATGGAGAACACAATAATTCCCAAAACAGCTCAATTAAATTTCTATTCAAACACTATGTCCTGGCTATAAGATGAAATTTTTCATGCTGTTGTTGAAGTGAAAGGTGAATTCTCATTTGCTAGCATGCAAATACAGACATATTTTCCTTCATTGTTTTGCAATATTTTTCCTTGTTTAACCTCTCCATAATTTGTGTTCAGCAATGTCAGTTGTTATGGAAATTTTAAAACCCAACTCATAATTCCTACATTGGATGTCTAAACTGTCATATGGAACTTGGTCATAACCAGAATCATGACCACTGTGAATTTATTTTTTCAATGTCAGATTTATGTAGACAGAATCCAAAGTTTTCTTATTAAAAGACTCCAAGGTTTTCTTGGGAAGCCCAGGAAGGCCAACATTCCTTAAAATCTGGTTGCTGCTAACTAATACTTTTGTATAACTTTATTCTTAACAAGCTCATTAACACAAACTTATGTGCCCACACACATACATGCTCCTCATGGATGGGAGGAATTATTGTCCTGTAATTTCCAAAATGGAAAATGAATTTCAGGCAGGTCATCCAAGTTGAAATAGCCCTAATTTCCCAATCATGTTTTCAGCCCATTTTCAATATTTATAAACTTGTGTCTCATGCTTAGGCTTTTGAGTAAGTCATTTTCTTGAGTCTAGTTAATATTTAAATATGAATTGTTTAATTAAAATATTTAGCAATTTTGTAAATATTCCTTGGGCACTTAAAAAACATGTGTATTCCATTGAAGAGCCTACACTTCTCTGTATGTAAATTTTCACTTTTATTTTTCTCTAATGTATTTTTTATTATTTAATGGTTTAAGATGAATAGATGTTAAAAATCGGTCTTCAATATTGGATATTATTTCTTTCCAGTTGTTATAGTATAATTGTTTCTAGGAGAAGATCTTGGAGTCAGTCTGCCAGGACAGGAAGCCAGATTTTCTGCTTTATATAGCTATGATCTGAGACTCCATTTTACGAATTCTCTCTACCTCAGTATAATTATGTATAAAACGCAGATGATAATAATACTCTGGGTAGTCCTTATGAGGTGCTAGTATAGTATATGTATAACTGCTTTCAATTTTACATGTTCAGTGCAGGCAGGAACCGAGGATTATTAGTTATTCTTTTGATTCTGTGTTACTTGATACTTAAAAGATACCAGTGAAAACTTCCACTTTTCCTTTTTTGTTTTGAGAAAGGATGTTGCTCTGTCGCCTAGGCTGGAGTGCAGTGGTAGTTCACTTCAGCTTTGTACTCCTGGGCTCAAGAGATCCTCCCACCTCAGCTTCTGGAGTAGCTGTGACTATGGGCGTGCACCAACACAGCCAGCTAATTTTTCAGTTTTTTTGTAGAAATGGGGTCTCCCTATGTTGCCCAGTATGGTCTTGAAAACATGGGCTCATATGATCTTCCCACCTTGGTCTCCCAAAATGCTTGGATACAGGCGTGAACTGCACCTAGCTGAGAACTTCCATTTTTGAGCAGAATACAGAAGGTTCAGAAAGGCAAGATATCCTTCTGCAACAACTAGGATAAGAGTAATAAAAGGCCAAAATTATATATTCAATTCATCACAGAGTTGTACAAGCAAGGAGGGCCAGCTGAACTGAAATCCAGCACAAGGAGAGTCTTTGCAGGTGAAGGGTCAACTTATATACTCAGTGCAATCCCTATCAAATCCCAACAAGCCTGTTTTGCAAAAAGTGAAAAACCAGTCCTAAAATATATCTGAAAATACCCAGTGACCAGATCACCAAAATAAATCTTGATAAAATAACACATTTGGAGGATTACACTTTCTGGTTTCAAAGCTAACTACAAAGCTGCACTAATCAGAATTCTGTGGTACTGGCATTACAGTAGACAAAAGAACAATGAAACACAACTGAGAGTCCAGAAATTAACACTGACATTGATGGTAATTGATTTCAAAAATGGTACCACTGCAGTTCAATAGGAATTAATCATTTTTTCAACAAATGATACCGAGAACATTGAATATCCACATGCATAAAGATAAATTTCTATTCTTATTTCACACCATACACAAAAAATAACTCATATTTAATTGATTATAGAGCTAAATGTAAAAAGTGAGATTAGTAACTAAGATACTAAAACATACTAACTGTACAATTGCAAGTAATACAAGTGGGTTAATCAACCATAATTCTATCTGTGTATTTCTCTACTTAGATCATTATGTCTATAATAATAATAATCCCCTGCCTATCAATCTATTGATATTAAAATTACTATTTTAAATAAAACTAAATTAGATGCTGGGCTACCCTCAATCTCATTTAGTGGAAATTCAAGCAAAAATATTATTGATTCTCCCTAGATTTTTATTTTTTGAGACATGGTCTCACTCTGGAGCCTAAACTGGAGTGCAGTGGTTTGAGATTGGCTAACTGCAATCTATAGCTCCCAGCCTCAATCTGTTTCCCACCTTGGCCTCCCAAGTAGCTAGGACTACAGGTGGACACCACTATACCTGGCTAATTGTTGTATTTTTACTAGAGACTGGGTTTCACCATGTTTCCCAGGTTGGTCTCCAATAATTGGGCTCAAGAAATCTGCCTGCCTAAGCCTCCCAAGGTGCTCAATTACAGGCTTAAGCCACAGCATCCACCCTGGTACTGTTACTTCAAAATGTACATTTGACATTTGAAGGAAAAATATTTACATAATGTGCTATATGCCAACATGCGTGAATAAATAAATAATATAAATGGATAATCAGCCTTATTCCTGTCTGTTGAATCACTTGGCTACATTGTCAGTAAAGAGATTACATGAGATCACCAACACAACAGGCATCATTGTAGAGATTGAAGAATTGAGACCTTGGGCAGTCTGATATTTTCAGTTTAGAGACAAAAGAGAACTAGCAAAGGAGATTGAGAAGTAGTGCCCAGGGGATAAGGATAAAATCAGGAGAGGGCAGCATCCTGAAATCTAAATAAACTAAGTTCAATGCAGCTAATAGAGCATGCAACATGATGACTAACCTTGGGAACATAGACTCTCTGGTGATCTTGCAAATGTCAGAATCAATGAACTGATGACAGCATCAGCTTCTTGGAATGAGTTCATAAGCCAATAGTTAAAGAGGCTTCATACTTTGAAAAATACTTATAAACCAAGAGCAAGCCTTTTCACTTCAAAGGCTGAAAAACTGATTCCTGAGGTCAGCCTTTGAAGTGGAAAATCAAAGAACCTCAACCTGTTGTCAGGACTGAGCCAATTCCGAGAACAAGAATTCAATAATTGAAGGAAAGTGTAAGTCCCCTTGAAAAGGATGCTGAAAATTCACCACAAGAATATTCAGGACGTATTCATACGGTGCTTTCTCAAAGACCTGTAGCCATTTCCCAGATAACAGTACCCAGAGGAAAGGACACACATCCACACCATCTGAGACTTTTAGGTATAGGGCTCTTACAGTAGATAGTTAGTCAGGCATGAGCGGGGCAGAAGAAGGCTCTCACCACCCACCAGGAATGTCAGGTGGCCATCAGGTGATGGCCTGGCAGTTGTCACACTGCCTCTCTAAAAATGATAATTGCTCACAGGCACCAGGGAGAGGCAATTTCACAATAAGTAAAGATGCTTAAAATTGCTAGTCAGCAGCTCAGGAATAGGGCGAGTAGGCTGAGGCATACGTGTTAAGAGAGAAAACGGTAGAAAACAACCTTCTGGGGGCATTCCACCAAAAAAGGGAAGAATGCCTCATGCAAGCATGTGTACAACTCCAGTAAACACACTGCGCATGCTCACCTCCAAAGTGTTAGCAGGCCACCACACATGTGAGCAGCCCACCCTAAGGGGCTGAATCATGGGAAAAGGAACACAAGACCCTAAGGGAAGAATCGTGGGAAAAGGAACACAAGACCCCAGAAGTATACCAACATATAAAACCACAAGTCAAAGGTCTAACACTGCACTTGACCTCCAAAATGCCCACTGTGGTCTCTTCCAAGTGTACTTTCCTTTCTTTCCTGCTCTAAATCTTTTTAATAAACTTCCATTGCTGCTCAGAAACTTCCCTCAGTCTCTTTTTCCGCCTTATGCCCCTCAGTTGAATTCTTTCTTCTGAGGAGGTTAGACTTGAAGTTGCTGCAGACTCGTACCAAATTGCCTCCAGTAAACCAGATATTGGCCACTCCAACAGAGCCTGAACTAACAGTAATATCTGGGTACTCAAAAGACACTGCAGTCCATGAGATGAAGTGGGAGATTTTTTAAAATTTTCTTTTTGTGTGTGTGTTATTTGCATTTGGGTTTTTTAGATACACAGTCTCAATCCTTCACTTAGGAGGTATGTAGTACAGTGGCAAATCATAACTCACTACAGCCTTGAATTCCTGGGTTTGTAACAGAGTGCCCCATTTTTTCTAAGAAACAGGGAATGAGTTACTATTTTTTTATTATTATTTTCTCTTATCTCCCCTTTCCTTTTGTTCCCTGTTTCCTGCTTAGCCCTTCATAAATGCAAATATAACCTTTCACCCCCACTCACTAGACATTCCCTGCAGGGCACGTTCTTCTAACTATGTGCAGCAAGACAGATCTCTTCTGAGAATTGACAGTCAATTTGCAGACCAAAGCACACCCACCAAGGAATGTTTACCTCCAGGAAATGGACTTGGAACTTCCAGACTGTGCTCCACTCTGGGAGTTGCCTGAGGACTTTCACCCAACAGAAGGGCATATTGAAAGCATACCCACTTGGCCACTTTTACAAGTTACTTCTGCACAGGAAGGCACCAATTCAACTGTCTGATAGATAAGGCACCAAGCCTGCATGAGGACCCTCTACCCTTGCTCAGTATCCCTCCTTACCTTATAAAAGTGTCTGCTTTCTGCTCCAAAGGTGAAGTGGTACACTTAAAGGCAAGACACTTTGTGCTCCTTCCCCAAGCTAGGTTTGGAATAAATTCATTACTTTTGTACCAGACCTCACTTTTGTTAACTGGACACTGCATGCGGCCAGCAACGGACTCGCATATTGGTTATAGGTCCAAAGGAGTCTCCTGTCTCATCTTTCTGGGTAACTGGGACTACAGGTGAGTACCACCATGCCAAACTAATTTTTTGTTGTTGTTTTTTCTGTTTTTTAGTTTTTGTACAGACAGGCTGTCACTGTGTAGCCCAAGGTGGTCTGCAACTCTGGGCCTCAAGAGATATTCCCACCTCCGCCTCCAAAAGTGCGGGGACTGCGGGCATGAGCCATCATACCCAGCCTGCAGAGGGAGTTTTGAAGGTCAGATGCTACCTAGAGTTTTGACTCATGTCCATCCCAAGGTGGATCTAATCAGTTTGCCGTTATTGCCTCTTCTTGAATGTGTAATGGACACACATGGCAGCTGGCAGGACTCTCACTTTCTTCCTGACCTGTAGAGTCAGGGACATTATTAGAGCAGAACCAAGGGGAAGCCTGTGAAATTCTCCTCCACTGGCAACAATGATTGAAAAATAATAATCACATTCTCCAAGGAATGGAATTGATCACTACCATGACAAAACACTTGAAAGTTGCAGGGGATGGTAGTCTTTTTATATGCCTATCCACTTAACCTATCTGGCCTCTACCAAAACCAGATACACTATAAAATGAATGCAGATTTCCATAAATTTAAATCACTACTTACAAATGCTCTCTAGGATGTGGTATCTTCCCTGAGCAGAGCAGAGCTCCTGGCAGTTTGCATGTGGCTCTTGATTTAGTGAATGTTTCTTATTTTACACCCATGGGTGGGTCAGCAGATTAAAACAATTGGCCTTTGTGTGGTAAAAACAAGAGCACTGCTTCACTGTTTTATGTCAGGGCTTTGTCACTTCTGCTCTCAGTTTAATTTACATTTTGGAAAACATCATGTTAATTTAATATATTAATAACGTTACGGTAATTGGTACAATAACCAGGAAATGGAAAGTTACCTAATTATAGTAAAATACTTAAACATTAAATAGAAATAAAATATCAGAAGAAAGAGACATGCCTGAAAATATTTAGAGAACACCAACGCAGATATTGTTTTCAGGGATCCCATATTCCTGGTCCACATGTTGAAAAATCAATTAATTAATTAATTAATTTATTTATATTTGAGATAGAGTCTCGCTCTGTTGCCCAGGCCGGAATGCAGTGTTGCAATCCCGGCTCACTGCAAACTTCGCCTCCTGGGTTCAATCAATTCAAATCCTTCAGCCTCCTGAGTAGCTGGGTTTACGGGCATTGGCCACCATGCCTGGCTAAATTTTTTTGTATTTTTTTTTAAGTAGAGATGGGGTTTCACCATGTTGCTCAGGCTAGTCTCAAACTCCTGGCCTCCAGTGATCTGCCTGCGTTGGTCTCCCAAAGTGCTGGTATTACAGGCGTGAACCACCATGCCGAGCAGAAACATCCTGTTTAAGGTAAATGGCTTCCTATATACTTCCTATCACTAAAAGAGAAGCACGGCGTTTATTGAGCCTCTAGGGATTTTGGAGTCCAAAAATACCACAGTAGAGGATATTGCTCTGATGTGTTAATAAAGTCCTTTTTAAATCCCTGTTCAGTTAACCTACCTAGCCTCTGCCAAAACCAGATGGGTTACAGAATGAATGCAAAGACTCCTGGTTTCAAGTGGAATCCAGAACATATAATATCTCTACAGCAGATACAGGGTCTGGCCCAACCTGCTCGGCCCATTGTGCCAGATGATCCAGCAGAATTCAAAGCTGCTAGAGGCATGCAACGTGGGCATCACAGGACTCTGTGCCTGTCTCCATCAAGCCCGTAGGAGAGGAGAAAGCAAACCCCTAGGGAATTACTGCAGAACTATTCCCTCTTCAGTGGAGGAGTATCCGCTGTCTGAAAAATAAAAATGCAAGTGCAGAACATTAATCCAAGCAAAAAGCCCCTCAAGCACAAGACCCCGTGCAACTACACAAGGCATCTGCTTATAAAACCAGCCACAGTTGGAGGGCATGAGCACATCTGAGTGGCACAAGGAGGGGACTATATTGGACACAAACATGTGCTTCCTCAGATTCCCTTGACTGTCTCCTGTTCCCATGGTCAGCACCTTGCCTAATCCAGATCATCCTTCCACCTGGGACTTGAATGTATCTGTGGGCATGAAGTCTTGTAACAGAAAAGCTTAGTTGCTCACTTCATGTAAAGTCTAATTAACAAGAACAAGGTCTGATATAAAAATAGAGAATTTATTTGGAAGTTAGCTTGCTGGAAGGGGCACAAAGCATCCTGCCTTCCAACGTGACACTTCATCTTTGGAGCAGAAAGTGAACGTTTTATAAAGTAGGGAAGGAAATGAGCAGGACAGCAGTTGTAAAAGTGGCCACGTGGGCATCCTTTCCACATCCCCTCCTAATGGATGTGAGGTCTAAGGGGAACCCCTGGAGGTGAGAGTTCCATGAGGGCATACTTTTGTCTGCAAATCAACTGTCAAGTCTCAAGGAGAGATCCCTCGTGGAGCACATAGTTAGATGAACTCGCCCGAAGGGACTGTCTGGTGGGGGGAAAGTAAACAGTTCTATGTGCATGTCTAAAAAGTTAAGTAGAAAGCAGGAAACATAGGGAAAGGGGAGAGGAAAAGAGAAAAAATAAATTAAAAAAAAACTATCTCTTAGAAAAATGGGGGTATTGGTTAGTGTGACTTTCCCAAACAGCCACCAAGGGGTTGGATAATGTAAGGAAGAAAAGCAAAGATGGTAGTTCTGCCTCAAACAAACTTTGGCCAAAGGGAAATAGAAGACAGAAGACAGCTAGGATACATTCTCCCTTTTCTCTCTTCCACGGACTAATATTTGTTGTGGCTTCCCCTTGTAACCCTTCTGGAAAAGTATGGGGAGCCAAGTGCATGCATCTGATGACCACCATGCTGTCTGTCTCACTAATTGTGAAGTGGCCACCAGCAAAATCATATCAACATCACGACACATGGTTTTACATCTTCTTTTGCCTCAGTTTCCACATTTACCCCTCATTGCTGCCCTGGACTTGCCTTCCCAAATAAATGTCATCACTGTAAACTCAGACATTGGCTCTAGTTTTAGACACCCAAAGCTAAGATATACATTCAGTTGCATCACTTTTCCATGCGTTTATAACATGGCAATTAAAACATTCATTTAGAAAGGATACTAAAAAAATATACAAATAATGTGTAAGAAAGGTGACTGGTTACAAACTCAATTTTTAAAAATGAAATGCCTTTTTGTGTATATGATAACCAGCTAGAAAATATCATAATACAAATATATCATTCATAGTAGAAAGTGATTAGGTACATTTCCAACCAACTTAATCAGTTGCAAAGTTTGCTAGCTTTTATTTTTACTTCTTTTGAGTTTACTTCTTTTGTATCAGCAAAGCATTGAAGGCAGCATAAGTCATACTGAAGGAGAAAGAGACGTTCCCTAAAAACAAAAGTGTGTTTGGCAGCTGCTGGGAAGTTCCCTAACATTCTTGTCATGGGGTCTGCTAGCCCCGAGCAGCTGGCACTCACAGGTGACCCTGACCCTGTGCAAATATACCAAAATCTTTAATATGCTTTTCAAAAAGCATTAGAATAAGTGCCATCTAATTTTGACGTTCCACCTTGTCTCTACTTCACACACCTGATATAGCTGCATCAAAGCTATATTACAGTGATATTTCCCCTAGAATTGTGGACTAGCCAAACTTTTGCTCTGAGAAATGCTTCTTCTTCAAAAAGCCTATAACCTCAACCTGAAAATAGAAAATTCAAGCAACTGCAGATTTTATGATGAGCTTCATTTTCACTGATTTACCACATCAAATTATCCATTTATCCAATCACTTATGTGTTCATTAACATATCATTTTTGACCAACTATTCTTTGTGCTGGCTTTTAGGTCCTGTGAGTCAAGAGAAAGCGAGACAGATATGACCTCTCTTTTTATGGTGATTACATTGTACTAGGGAGGACGTATGATAAGCAAGATATATATATATATATATATATGTCTATAGATATAGATATAGATACATAGATATATATATGATGTGGAGTTAACTTATTTTAAGTTCTACATAATAATGTTAAAATTTCATAACACCAAGAATTAACACAGTCACACAGAATTTAGCTCTTCAACAAGGCTGTACATTTCCTTCTTATAATAGAACTTGGTATCAATGGATACATCAACACACTGTGTAATTTCACCATTTACACCATTATAATAATACATATCATTAATACATTTCCTATCAATTATATAGATTTCACAGATTTTTATGTAATTTTTACATAATTTTTAACATTTGAGGAAAGTTTCATTTGATTATCTTCTATAGTTTCTATACCCTCCTTTGATTGGCCTGTTTTTTTAAGATAGAGAATATTTGAGTTTTTTTGAGGAATATTAGGAATGGGAGACAAAGGAGAAAATTGGAAATTCAGGGGCTCAAGGTGGCTAAGAAAAATAAATGGAAATACTTGACATCAGATGTCAACTTCAAAAAAGGTTTCCTTTAATTCAAAAAGTGGAAGCAATGACTTTTCTAACTACAGATAAAAAAATTATAACAGCACTGAAATGATCATCAGCATGTTTCTTCATTCCTATTATAGAAATGATTTTTATTCTAGGCTATTCACATACTGGTATTAAATCTAGTATTCTTTAGTACTGTTTTGGTATACATATACAAAATTTACTCTACATATGTTTTTCACTCCAATTTTATTGTGTGCATCATTAACTAACAACAATTCTATTTGCTTTCTACTAAGCATAAAATAAGAATTCATAATGAAATAAAACCTACCCCAAAGATCCATTCTTATCATTGATTTAAAATTGAATGTCTTTACCATCCAAAAAATTAGAGGTTCACCAATGATAGTTAAGCACATATATGTGGTACAAATTACAATGGAAAAGAGAAATGATTTCTTCATAAAAGCTGTACGTTCTTAATTATAAAGAGAGATAATAAATTCTTCAAATGAAATACTATACAATGAACTATAATAAAATATAAATACTATATATGTGAAATATACTCAGCTTCATAATTTATGGTCAACGTTGTTATTCACACACATGCACACATATACACCCATAAATATATATATGACTTTTCTAGGTATCTGTTTTGAAATTACTCACATACAAACACTATGGAAAAACTGATAGAAATATAAAATGTTCCAGACACCATCAGTTTGTTTTCTGCTAGAAGACCCACGATGCTCCCCTTGTGAATCTATGGAGTTGAGGGTTTCTCTTCTTTCACTCAGCATGTCATCTGCCACAAAACTGAAAGAAAGGTCTGTTTTAGCTTCCTACTTCCCATAATCAGGATGAATGAGTGGAATGAAGGATACATGATTGCAACAGTTTGGCAAAGCAGGAGTACAAGTTTGCTCTGCTGTGTCCTAAGATTCCAAGTTGATGTGATTATACACAGAAAGTAAATGGCAAATAACATGAGGAAGGAGGTCACAGTTTGCAAAGCTTTTATATGGACCTTGGTGCTGGGATCTTGAGATCCTTTGCTATGGAGCCGCATCTTCTTGAGATGTTTACAAAGAGAACAGATTAACAGCAGAAAACATATTAGGCTCAGAGTAAAGGGTATGAGGTTTGCTAGAGTAGTTACAGTCAAGCTTGAAAGGTGTATTGCATTCCTCAATTTGATCTTCCAAGTCACATTTCCTTCATATTCTTTTGTCCACACTCTCTCATCCATGGTTATCACAGCAAGATTACAAATCAAAAATACCAAGGGCCCCAACAGTATCACCAGAACAACACTCTTAATTCTCTTCTTTAGGTGGAGAGAAATAAGGTTGGAGAAATTGGCAATCTTGAGCAAACAAAATATGCTGAGGCTAGCAGCAAGCCACATGCTGAAATGGTTCGTTACAGCCCAGGCATTAGAAGCAACAATTCTTACTTCTAAACCATATAAAGCAGAATTAAACACAGTTGCATACCAAAGGAATAACATGACCCAGAGTAAACCAATTCTGGAGACCACCAGAGCAGTGAGAATTTGCTCAGCTGAGGAGATCTTTCGTGTGTTAACCCAGTCAATGACATTTACTAGAGCTATGAAGCCATTGGCAACATTTCCAAGAACAAATGCAAACACTACCAGAATTGATGAAATGATGAGCAGAAAACACATCATGTTTGAACAGATAAAAAAATGCAGGCTTAGTAACACTTGTTCTGAGTCCTTTAACATCCAGATGTTAACTTCGATGAACACTTGATTACTAAATGTGCAATAACATTTTCTGCCTTTAAATTCAGTGACTAGTGTCAACAGGCAAGCACCAGCATATGCTAATAGATGAATTCAAAACTGTCTTTATAGAAATAGAAAAGGTCATTATTCTCAAAACAGCTCAAATTCACTCCTCTTCATATACATTCTCTCCTTGCTATATGCTGTACTTTTTTATACTGAGGTTGAAGTGGAAAATTGAATTCTCATGTGTTAGTATGCAAAGAAAGGCATATTATTTTTCATTGTTTTGCAATTTTTTTCCTTGTTTAACCTCTCCATAATTTGTATACAGCATCTTCAGTTGTTCCATAGGGAAATTGTAAAACCCAATACATATATCATATAGTAAATGTCTAAATTGTTAAAGGAGCTTGGTCATAACTAGGATCATACCAATATGGACTTATTTTTATGCCAGATTTAAATACCAGATTCTAAACCTTTTATCAAAATCATCCAAGATTATCTTGGAAATCCCTGGGAGGCTGATACACTTTAAAATCTGGTTTCTGATAACCAATAAATTGATATGACATCATTGTTAATAAGCTCCTAAACACATAGACACACATGCACTCACACCCTTAGGGCATGGAAGGAATTATTTTCTTATAATTCCCCAAATGGAAAATGAGTTTCCAGGAACTCATCCAGGTGGTATTAGTCTTATTTTCCAACTCAGGGCTGTCAGACAATGAATAATATTTATCAAACATGTTTCTCAAGCTTAGGCCTTTGGTATATTTACACTCAAGTCTGTTTTGTTTAAACATTAATTATTTAATTAAAATGTTCAGCAATTTTGTAAATATTTCTAAGTACCCTACTCTTTGTCACATAATCCTGCAGTACCCTCCCACCTCAGGCAGGGTGACTACCTTGACCTTGGACTCTGAATTCACTCACGTAATTTGCTTCAGTCAACAGGAAATTAGTAGAATTTACAGAGATTTAAGATGGCTTCCATATTGAAGTTTCCTGCTCTTTTCCACTAACCATGAGGACATCATCTGGCTAGCACACTGTTCCCAGAAGAAGAAAGAGAAACTAATGGAGTCAGAATGCCACTGCCTTATCTACCCTAAATCAGCCAAACTAGCGGCAAGATGCAGTACGTGGCCCATCTCCAATCACCAGAGCCATCCACCAAACCTAGGTTAGAAAAATGTAATCCAAAGACATAATGATACACAATTATCTAACTCAGTTTTCTCTTGCAGAAAAACATAAGTGATGTAGGTATTCTGCTAAATCAGGAGTGTGGGAAATATGCCCACCATTGTTGTGTCAGGAATTCAGGATCGAAGGAAAAAATAGAGAATGTCCAAGTTTTGTCATATGAAGTGGGTAATTAAACCTAAAAGAAAAACCTATTCAGAAATCTGTGGTTGGCAGGTAACATCATGTCAAGTTTCCTAAAGTTGCAACTAAAATCAGAAAGTTTCTACTTAAAATCTCTTAGAGTTACACATGAATGTATACAAATAGTGGATTTTTCCCTTCAGTATATAATGAGCAGAGTAATAATAATTTTCATGGACCATTTCTGCTAATTAATAATTTTTATCATATAGCTAGACTGCACACTTAGAAATGAACCAAAACAAAAATGGAAAACATAGCAATGTGTCATAAACACTCATGTAACCATCATGTAGGGCAAGACATGGAACATTGCTAAGAGCCTAAGTTTACCTCAATGCCACTTTCTAATTCCCTACACCTTTCTTCATGTCTCCTGTGATAAGCAACATCCCTAATTTATGATGGTCTTTTTTTAATATTCTTTATACTTTACCAATAAGGTATTCGACCCTAAACTCAATAGCTTGGTTTGGCCTGATTTGATCTATGTATAGGTGCAATCCTATATGTTCTTATTCATGGCTTCCTGGAATCAACATTTTGTATCCAAAATTTAACCCCATCATTGCATGTACATGTGATCCATTTCTTTTCACTTCTCTATATTTTTTTCATTTTTTGATTTTACTGTAATTATTTATCCATCCTTATTTGATATATATTTGGACAGCTTATTTTTTGAGCTTTTATGAATAATGCTACAATGAACATTCTTTCACATATCATTTGCTACAATTCCTCTGTGTATATATATCTGGTTGTAGAATTACAGGGTCCTTGATTATGATGTTCAAATTCTTCTCACAGACATAGAAAAGCCCAAAACACAGTTTGACTAAATTTATTCCTGTTACCTTTATCTCCAGCCTCTTTATTGCTATTTGCATATATCTTATCAATTATACATTCAATCCACGAAGACACTATTGTTTTATATAGTCAACATTTATTTAGAATTACACACTTAGTTTTCATTGTCATTAATTTTTTTTTTTTTTTTTGAGACATAGTCTCCCTGTCACCCAGGCTGGAGTGCAGTGGCACGATCTCTGCTCACTGAAAGCTCCGCCTTCCGGGTTTAGCCATTCTCCTGCCTCAGCCTCCGGAGTAGCTGGGACTGCAGGTGCCCGCCACCAGGCCAGGCTAATTTTTTTTTATTTTTAGTAGAGACGGGGTTTCACCGTGTTAGCCAGCATGGATTGTCATTAATTTGTAATGCTCCTTGCGTGTTCAACTTTGTATTTTCAGTAATTTTATTTTATCTGAAAAATATCATTTTCAATTTCTGTTTATGAAGGTCTACTACTCTTTGGAAACACATTGAAGACATGATTCCCATTAATCCATTGAATTCCTGCTTCCATGTTTTCTGTTAAAATCAGGTTGTATTTAGAATACAGTTCTTTTCAACATACTCTATCTTCTACCTCTAGCTACTTTTCAGATTTTCTATTGGTCTTTTGTGTCCTGTATTATTTTATGTTAATTTGGTTTTAGTTATCATGCCTGAAGTTTGAGATTACTAAAAATATATTCAGGGATACATTTTATACCTTTTGGAAAAATCCTTGCAACATTTCTCTTGCTCTATTTTCTCTCCTCTAATCTTACAGAACTCCAGAAGTATGTTAGGTGTTCTGTCTGTAGCATCAATGTGTTACCCTCTAGCTCTGTGTATTTCCATCTCTTCCCTTCTATGCTTCATTCTGTGTAGCTATCTTCCAATTCACTTATTCTCTCTTGTACTGTATCCAACTGGTTAACTCTGTCTATTGGATTCTCAATATTGATAATTCATTTTTTCAGTCTTATTGTTTTAGTGTTCAGAATAATCTTTTATTCTCCTTCCATAAATCATTTTCTATGGGGAAACTGAACAAACTACTCTTAACACCATGTTCTTTTTAAAAGTGTTTTTGACTTTTGGAGTTTTTAGTTTTTTGTTTTACTCGATACTGTTTTACTTGATGTTTAAGATACCGGTGAGAACTTATACTTGTTTTTTTTTCTTCTTCTGAGACACAGTCTCCCTCTGTTACCCAAGCTGGAGTACAGTGGCAGGATCATAGTCCACTGCAGCCTGGAACTCCTGCGCTCAAGCAATCCTCCTGCCTCAGCTTCCCAAGTATTTGGAACTATAGGCATGCACCAACACACCAGCTAATTTTTTAAATTTTTTGTACAGACGGAGTTTCCACATGTTGTGAAGGGAACTCCTGCTCTCAAGGGATCCTCCCACCTTCGCCTCCCAAAGTGCTAGGACTGCAGGCATGAGCCATCACATCCAGCCTGCAGGGGGAGTTTTTGAAGGTCAGATACTACCTAGAGCTTCGGCTCATGTCCATTCCAAGGTGGAGCTAATCAGTTTGTAGTTACTACCTCTTCCTGAAAGTATAATTGAAGCCTGTAATCCCAGCACTTTGGGAGGCCGAGGCGGGCGGATCACGAGGTCAGGAGATCGAGACCATCCTGGCTAACATGGTGAAACCCCGTCTCTACTAAAAAAAAAAAATACAAAAAATTAGCCGGGCGTGGTAGCGGGCGCCTGTAGTCCCAGCTACTCCGGAGGCTGAGGCAGGAGAATGGCGTGAACCCGGGAGGCGGAGCTTGCAGTGAGCCGAGATCGCGCCACTGCACTCCAGCCTGGGCGACAGAGCGAGACTCTGTCTCAAAAAAAAAAAAAAAAAAAAAAAAAAAGAAAGTATAATTGAAATAGATATGTATGGCAGCCGGCAGGACTCACATTCTTCGTGAACTGTAGAGTAAAGGACATTATTATAGCAGGACCAAAGGGAAGCCTCTGAAATTCTCCTCTACTGGCAACAAAATATATAAAATATAATAACCGCATTCCCTAAGGAATGGAACTGGTCAGTGCCGTGACAAAACACTTGAAAGTTACAGGGGATGGTAGTCCTTTCTATAAGCCGATTCACTAAACCTATCTGGCCTCTATCAAAACCAGACGGGTTATAGAATGAATACAGACTACCAGAAACTTAAATCAACACTCACAAATGCTTTCCAGGATGTGCTGTCTTCACTAAGCAGAGCAGAGCTTCTGGTACTTTTTACTGGGCTTGTGATTTGCTGAATGGTTCTTAATCTACACCCATTATGAGGAAAAATCAAAACAATTTGCCTTGTATCATAATAATAACACTGTGTCACTGTTTTATATCACGGCTATGTCACTTCTGTTTAATTTACATTTTTTAAAACATCGTGATTATTTAATATATTAATAATATTACAGACCAGGCCCTGTGGCACATGACTGTAATCCCATCATTTTAGGAGGCCGACACGGGAAGATCATTTGAGCCCAGGATTTTGAGACCAGCCTGGGTAACACTGTGAAATCCTAGCCCTACAGAAAATACAAAAATTAGCCAGGCGTGATGTTGTGCCCCTGCAGTCCCAGCTGCTAGCAATGCGGAGGTGGGAGAATTACTTGAGCCCAGAAGGTTGAGGCTGTAATGAGCTGTGATCCTGCCACTGAACTCCAGCCTCAGGGACAGAATGAGACCCTGTCTCAAAATAATAGCAATAATAATAATAATATATTACTTGGTACAATAATCAGGAAGTGGCAAGTTTCTTAACTATAGTAAAATACTCTAACGATGAATGGAAGTAAAATACCAGAAGAAAAGAAACCAACCTGAGAACATTCAGGGACCTACAGCATAGGTGATGTTTTAAAGCATTCAGTGTCCCTAGACCACACGTTGAAACAATCTTTTTTACAGTATATGGCATGTTGCTCTCTCTATAAATTTCCTATCACTACAAAAGAGACACAATGTTTTGGGGGCCTATTGGGATTTTGGAGACAACATATTCCACATTTGAGAATATTGCTCTGACTCATTAACGAAGTTTCCCAGGCTGCTGGTCTCAAGTGGAATCCAGAACAAATGAGGGCTCTACAGAAGATATAGACTCTGCTCCAAGCTGCTCTGGCCACTGTGCCAGATGATCCAGCAGGATTCAAAGATGCTAGAACATACGTAGTGGTCATTATAGGACTCTGTGCATGTCTCTGACAAGCCTGTTGGAGAGGGGAGAGCAAATCCCTATGGAATTAGTGTAAGACCATTCTCTCTTCAGCAGACAAGTATCCTCTGTCTGACAAACAAAATAGCAAGTGCAGAATATTAATCCAAGCATAGAGTCCCTCTAAGCACAAGTCCCTATAAGCACAAAACCCTATGCAACTGTGGACGTCATATGCTCATAAAGCCAGCCATGACTGGAGGGTATGAGCACGCCTCAGTGGCACAAGGAGTGGCGGTACTGGACACAAACATGTGCTTTCTCAGATTCTCTTCACTATGTCCAATTCCCCTGGCCAGCACCTTGCCTGATCCAGATCATCCTTCTATTTGGGACTTGAATGCATCACCACACTGTGGGCATGAGGTCTGACTTTCATGACCACCACCAAGGGACTGGATGATGTAAGACAGAACAGCAGAGATGATAGTTCTGCCTCAAGGAAACCCTGACCAATAGGAAATAGAAGACTAATGACAGATGAGCAGATACATTCTCCCTCCTCTCTCTCTTCCATGGACTAATGCCAGCTGTGGTTTCCCCTTGTAGCCCTTCTGGAAAAGTGCTGGAAGCCAAGTACATGCATCTGATGACCATCATGCTGTCTCTCTCACCTCACTGTGAAGTGGCTGCCATCAGGGTCATACCAGACATCACCACACATTGTTTCACATTTGTTCCGGTCTCAATTTCCACACGTCCTTGCCATTTTTGTCTTGAACTTGACTTCTAAATAAATGGTAGCACTTCAATAACAGGTATTACATTAAAAACATTTTGGTAAAGTAGCTGGTTACTAACTCAATTTTTTGAAATGAAATGTCATTTTTGTTTAAATAATCAACTAGAAAATATCATAATACAAATAATTGACAATAGAAAAAAATACATATTCAAATAGACCAAAGTTGTTTATATGATTTTTCAAACCATTATAATAGGTGCCATCTAATTTTGGTGTTCTACCTTGTCTCCAACTCAGACACCTGATACAGCTGCATCAAGACTATATTATTGTCATATTTCCCCTAAAATTGTGGAATAGCCAAACTTTTCCTTAGGAGAAGGATTCTGCTTGGATAAGCCTGTAATCTTAACCTGAGACTGGAACAGGGGAATTCATGCAACTGCAGATTTTGTGTGAGTTTCCTTTTCACTGGTTAACCACATCAACTTATCCATTTTAGCCACCCATTTATTTGTTCATTAAAGTATCATTTTTGACCATCTATTCTTGGTGCTGGTTTCGAGTTCCTGGGAGTCAACAGAAAGCAAGACAGACATTATCTCTTTTTTTACAGTCCTTACATTGTACTGAGGAAGATATATGATTAAAAAAATACACAAATCAGGTGGGGGGATGATTCATCTTAAGGTTTAAATCACATTGTTTAAATTTCATAACACCAAGAATTAATACAGTCAAGTAGAATTTAGCTGTGAACAAGACTGTACATTTCTTTCTTATAATAGAACTTCCTATTAAAGAATATGTCAACACCCTTTCATTTCATCATTGATGACAAAATTACAACGTTAAGGCTCATCTCATAATTAATACACAGATTTCATAGATACTTTTTTAACATTTACAAAAAGTTTGACTGAAATATTTTCCACAATTTATATATTATATTTACATTGATTTTATTTTTCAAAAAGAGAGGATTTGAGTTCTCTTATCTGAAGTTTAGAAGGAATTTCATAAATGGAAGGTAAGGATATAATTAGCAATTCAGGGGCTTAAAAGTGCTTTAGAAAGAATACTAAAATAATTTGCATGAGATCTCAACTTCAAAAACAGCTTTTCTTTAATTCAAAAGCGGAAGAAATGACGTTTCTAACTGCATATGCATAACTGATGATACCAATCCAGATCATGATCATGATATTTCATCCCTTTATTAGAGAAGGGATTTTTTCCTAAGCTATTCACATATGAAATCTAATATTCCTCAGTACCGCTTATGGTAGACATACATTAAATTTACTCTGCATATGCTTCTCACTCAAATTCTACTGTGTGCATTGTTTTCTAACAATAATTCTCATTGCTTTTTACTAAACATAAAATAGAAATTCATAATGGAATAAAACACCAAAGATACATCCTCATTATTGATTTAGAATTGAATGACTTTACCATCCAATAAATTCAAGGTTCAAGCAATGAATTCTAAGCACAATGTGGTGTATTCCTGTGGTTCAAATAACAATAGAAAAGAGCAATATTTATCCTGGGATAAACTGTTACTTCTTAATAATTATAAATAGACATCATAAATTCTACAAATGAAATATAACATGAATGAAATATACATGGCTTCAAAATTCTAAGAAATTTTTGTCATATTTTGTATAATTTGGCAGTTTGTATGAAAAAAACAGAAAAGAGCATGTTATTGTCAATGTTCTTAAGTTTTCATACACACATAAACACACACACACATATATATATATTTTTTTCTAGACTAATATTAGGTCAAAGACTTTTCTAGGTATACGTTGGGAAATTATTCATACACATACAGTATAGAAAAACCAGTAAGAAATATAAAATGTTTCATACACCACCAGTTTGTTTTCTGCTAGAAGACACACAATGCCCCTCTCATGAATCTATGGAGATGAAGGCTTCTCTCCTTTCACCCAGTACCTCACTTGCCGCAAAACTGAAAGAAAAGTCTGCTTTAGCTTCTTGTTTCCCCAAATCAGGATGAATGGGTGGATTGAAGGATAGCTGAATCTAATAGCTTTGCAGAACATGAAGACAGGTTTGTTTTCCAGACTCCCAAAACTCCAAACTGATATCATTATGGACAGAAAGTAAATGGCACATAACAAGAGGAAAAAGATCACAGTTTGCAAAACTTTTATGTGGACCTTGGTGCTGGGATCTTGAGATCCTTTACCATGGAGCTGCATCTTCTTGAGATGTTTACACAGAGAACAGATTAACAGCAAAAAACATAGCAGGGTCAGAGTGAAGGGCACTAAGTTTCCTAGCGTGGTTACAGTCGCATCTGAAAGGTACACTGCACTCCTCAATTTGATCTTCCAAGTCATGTTTCCTTCATATTCTTTTGTCCGTACAATCTCTTTCATGTTTATCACAAAAAGTTGACAGGCCAAAAATAGTAAAGGCCCCAACAGCATCACCAGAATGACACTCTTAACTCTCCTCTTTAAGTGAAGAAAAATAAGGTTGGAGAAATTGGCAATCTTGAGCAAATAAAATATGCTGAGGCTAGTAGCAAGCCAGTTGCTGAAATGGCCGGTTACTGCCCAGACATTATAAGCAGTAGTTCTTACTTCTACACTATAAAAAGCTGGATTAAACACAGTTGAATACCAATTTAATAATAATACCCAGAGCAAACCAACTCTGGAGACCGCCAGAGCAGTGAGAATCTGGTCAGCAAAAGAGATCTTTTGTCTCTTGACCCACTCAATGGAATTTACCAATGCTATGAAGCCATTAGCAAAATTTCCAATAACAAATAGAACCACTACCACACTGGAAAAAATGATGGGTATAAAAGTTGTCATGTCTGAACAGACAAAAAAAAATTGTTTTAATGCTGGTGTTGTGTCCGGAGTTGGTTCCTGCAGGTGGGTTCGTGGTCTCCCTGACTTCAAAAATGGAGCCACCGACCTTCACGGTGAGTGTTGCTGCTCTTAAAGATGGCATGGACCCAAAGAGTGAGCAACAGCAAGGTTTATTGAGAAGAGAGAAAGGACAAAGCTTCCACCGAGAGGAAGGCGACCCAGGCAGGTTGCTGCTGCTGGCTGAAGCCATGAGCTTTTATTCCCTTATTTGTCCCCTCCCATTTTCCTTTTTTTGTCCTATCAGAGTGCCCTTTTTTCAATCCTCCCTGCCATTGGCTACTTTTAGGATCCTGTTGCTTGGTGTATTTTAGAGCGATTGGTGCATTTTACAATCCTCTTGCTAGCTACAGAGCGCTGATTGCTGTGGTTTTACAGTGCACTGTTTGGTGCATTTTACAATCCCCTTGCTAGCTACAGAAACGTTCTCCAAGTCCCCACTCGATTCAGAAAGTATAGCTCGCTTCATCTCTCAATGTAATATAACTGGGTGTGATTGCTTGAATATCCTGACCTTAAATTCTATATGCACCTGATTTGTGAATGTGCTGTGACATTCTTTTTACTTTTAATTGTTGTGACCAGTGTCAAGCCAGAAATAACCATGGCATGTTAACTGATGAGTTCAATGATCTCTTTATGGAAAACATTCTTATTTTCAAACAACTCAAATTAACTCATTCATTCACTGTCTGTTCTTGTTATAGGCTGGAATTATTCACACTGAAATTGACGTGAAACCTGAATCCTCATTTGCTAGTATGCAAATAGGGACATATTCACTTTCAGTGTTTGCAATTTTTCCTTGTGTAACCTCTCCATCATTTATCTTTAGTGACTTCAGTTGTTAGGGAAGTTTTGTAACTCAATATATATATCATATAGTAAATATCTAAATTCTCAAAGGGAGCTTGGTCATAACTAAGATCATCACCAATGCGGACTTTTTTAAATCACAGATTTAAATACACAGAATCCTAACTGCTTTTATCAAAGGCATCTCAGATTTTCTTGAGAACCACAGGCAGGCCACTACTCCATAAGATCTGGTTGCTGCTAACACTTTCGTATAACTTCATTATTCACAAACTCATAAATATGCACACAAATATACACATGTGCACACCACTTATGAATGGAACAAATTATTTTCTTGTAATTTCCAAAATAAAAAATGAGTTTCCAAGAGGCTGTGCAGATGAAATTAGTCCTATTTTCCCACTCAGGGTTTTCAGCCCATGAATCATATTTATTTATCAAAAACATTATCTCTAATTCTTAGGACTTGGTAAAGTTTCTCTCAAGTCTAATGTTTAAATATTATTATAAAAAATATTTAGCAATTTTATAAGAATTCCTCAGTACCAGACCCTTTGATATATAATCCTGCAGTATCCTATCACAGGAAGACTGACTACCTTGCCCCTGAACTTGGAGTTCAATCATTTCACTTACTTTGATAAACAGAAAATTACTACAGTTTGCATAGAGATTTGAGATGGCTTCCATACTGGGGATTCTTCTTCTTTCCATTTACCATAAGAGTATGGCCTATCTAGTACACTGTTCCCAGAAGAAGAATGAGAAACTAAAGACGTGAGATTGCTGCCACCTGATCCAGATTAAATTGGCAAAACTCTAACGTCCTCCAAGATGCAGAATTTGGCCCATCTCAAATCACCACAGCCATCCACCAAACCCAGCTTAGAAAAATAAAATCCAGGCCCAGCGCAGGCGAGGTTGAGGAAGGCAGATTACGAGGTCAAGAGATGGAGACCATCCTGGCCAACATGGTGAAACCCCATCTCTACCAAAAATACAAAAATTAGCAGGGCATGGTGGTGTGCACCTGTATTCCCAGCTACTCGGGAGGCTGAGGCAGGAGAATGGCATGAACCCGGGAGGCGGAGGTTGCAGTGAACTGAGATTATGCCACTGCACTCCAGCCTGGGCGACACAGCAAGACTCTGTCAAAAAACAAAACAAAACAAAACAAAACAAAAAACCAACATCAAACGACATGTGAGATATAAATATCTAATGTAGTTTTGAAGGGTCTTCTCCTGCAGAGAAACATAACTGATAAAAGAACTCTTAAACCAAGAGTGTGGGAAATATGTACAACCTTGTTGTGTCAGGAATTCAGGAGCCGAAAGAAAAAATAGATGGGGAATGGCAAAGGTTTGTCCTGTGAGGTCGATAATTAAGGCTAGAAGAAATCCTTTGGAAAGATCTGGGGGTGGCAGATAACATCATCTCAAATTTCCTCATGTTGCAACTAAATAAGAAAGTTCCTATTTCAACTATCTTAGAGTTGTATAGGAATGTATACAAATAATTGATATTTCCCTTCAGTATATAATGAGACGAGTAATAATAATTTCTATGAGATATTTCTCCTAATTACAAATTTGTATATTAAAGTTATAATGCGCACTTAGAAATGAACCAATACAAAAATGGGAAATACCACAGTGTATCATAAACACTCAAGTAACCATGATGCAGGGCAAGACAAGGAACACCGAAAACAGCCTAGGTCCACCTCCATGCCACTTTACAAGCCCCTAAACCCTTCTTCGCATCTCCTGAGATTAGCAATATCCATAATTTATGATGATTATTTCCTCAATTTTCTTTATACTTTACCAACTAGGTATGCAACCCTAAACTCCGTAGCTTGGTCTGGCCTGCTTTGAACTGTGTGTAGGTGCATCCTACATGTTCTTCTTGTTTGTGGCTTCTTGGACCCAACATTACGCTTCTGAAATTTAGTCACATAGTTGCAAGTACATGTGATTTTTTTCACTTTTCTATAATGTTCCATTGCACGGAATTACTGTAATGATTCATCCAACCTTAATATGTATTTGGCCAGCTTCTTTTTTGAACAGTTATGAATAATTCTACTAGAACATTCTTTCATATATCATTTGATACAATTCCTTTGCATATATACCTATGAGTGGAATTACATTAACATTGTTCAAAATCTCCTCATAGACATAGAAAAGTTCAAGAAATAATTTAACTAAACTTACTCCTGTCACCTTTACCTCCATTCTCTTTTTTGCCATTTGCATATGTCTTATCAATTATATAATTACCCCAACAAGATATTATTATTTTTTGCAGTAAACATTCATTTAGAATTATGCACATATTTACCACTTTCATTAATTTGTATTCCTTCTTGCATATTCAACTTAATATTTTCAAAAAGACCCTTTATTGGCCAGGCAGGGTAGCTCACACCCATAATCCCAACATTTTGTAAGGCTGGGGCAGGAGCACCCAGGAGTTCAAGACCAGCCTGTGCAACACAGTAAAACTGCCTCTACAATGAATGAAAAAGTTAGTCAGGCATAGTGAAGCTACTCACAAGGCTGAGGTGGGAGGATGGTTTGAGCCCAGGAGTTCCAGACTGCAGTAAGCCATGATCCTACCACTGAACTCCAGCCTGGATAACAGAGTGAGACTCCAACTCTACCAACAAAAATAATAATAATAATATTAATAATAATTTTTCTTCTATCTGAAAAGATGTATTTTAAGTTTCTGTTTATCAAGATCTATTCTACTTTTGAAATACACTGAAGACATGAATCCATTGAACTCTAGCTTTATTTTTGTCTGTTGAAAATCAGCTTGTCGTTTAGACAGTTATTCCCTTTAACATAATCTATCTTTTCCTCTAGTTACTTTTCAGGTTTTCTATTGGTCTTTGATGTCCTGTCATTTTATGTTAATTTGGTTTTAGTTATCGTGTCTGAAGTCTGATAGTTTCTAAAAATATATGAACTGATATACTTTATCACTTTTGGAAAAATCTCCACATTGCTTCTGCCCCATTTGCTCTCTTCTAATTTTCGGGAACTGCAGAAGTATGTTAGTTGTTCTGATTGTAGCTTCACTGTCTCTGACCCTCTAGCCTTATATTTTCTATCTATTCGTCTCTTTATCTTCATTCTGGGTAGTTATCTTCAAATTCACTAATTCTTTCTTATGTTTAACTGGTTTTTAACTCTATTGGATTCTCAAAATTGATTACTCTTTTTGTTTTTGTCTTATTGTTTTAGAAGTAGAAATGAACTTTTGTTCTCCTTATATAAATCATTTTTCTAACGGAGAAACTAAACCAGGTATTCCTAAAACCAAGTTATTAAAAAAAGAGTTTTTTTAAACTTTTAGTATACCTGACATGAAAATGGTAACCATATTTTTCTTTTTGTAATACTTTGGTCAAAGAAGAGAATAAAAGCAAGATCTAGGCATTCTCCTGCAACTTAGAAGAAACTGGAAATTGATTTGATGTCAGTAGCTTTTTTTGGATAGTATCTTATCTGTTGCTGGGTCATCACCACAAACTCTTTTCACAGGCAAATTCAATGAGCAGCACTGGATCTCAAAATGTCATTAAAATTAATTAAATAGAGCATCTCAACCACAGCTCCACCACTCTATTCCATGATTTAAATTTTACGCTGTTTTTGCTTTGTTTTGTTTTGTTTTTTGAGACGGAGTGTCGCTGTCTCCCAGGCTGGAGTGCAGTGGCGCGATCTCGGCTCACTGCAAACTCTGTCCCCCGGGTTCACGCCATTCTCCTGCCTCAGCCTCCGGAGTAGCTGGGACTACAGGAGCCCGCCACCACGCCTGGCTAATTTTTTGTATTTTTAGTAGAGACAGGGTTTTACTGTGTTCGCCAGGATGGTCTCCATCTCCTGACCTCGTGATCCACCCACCTCGGCCTCCCGAAGTGCTGGGATTACAGGCGTGAGCCACCGCGCCCGCCCTATGCTGTTTTAATTAGCAGAAATCAAAACTTCTTAGTTTATAACAATCATTGAAAGATCAAATAGTAAAACAGTACTTACGAGTTTATCAAAAAATGAAGGACATCTGACATAAGTAGACTTTAAGTCCCATGGAAACAAAACTGAATCTGGTGCTTCTATGGAATTCCACCATTTAATCCTATCCATGAATATAGTTTTGGTTATAGAACTACAACCTTCTAACTCCATCATCACTCACTCAAGTGTGACAGAAGATCTGGGGTCTTACCTCTGTTTGACAGTTTGGTCCTAAAATCCGCTCTTTAGAAATAAAAGCGTGCTCAAAAAATGTGTTATTCGCTTTATCTTTCTTATTAAGGAATTTTATTTACACGAAAATCTAAATTGTTTCTATCATGATCATAGTGAAAGGAGGATTCATTGAAGGTCATCCATAAATAATTATTTGCATAAGCAATGTATTGTAAAATAAACTACACTTAATTTCTAAATCTAAATGTATTGGAGCTTGACTTGAACTTTGCTGTTTACTATTGTAACTTTCCCACAATGATGATCTTTTTAAAATTACTTATTTTCCAAATTATGTATTTAAATATTTCAAAAACAAACCACTTCATGATATAGATGAAGATATAGACGATGATGATAATGATGATGGCAGGTGAAAGGGAGAATGCTATTTGATCAATGTGATTTCAGGCTTGTTTCTAAGTACTGGAGCTCAGCGTGATGAGAGAACACTACTATTCTTCCTCATGGCCTCATGATTCTTCTATGATTCTCAGCATTAGGCCTAGACAAGTACCCTCACATGGTATTTCATCAAGAATAATGTAAAACCAACATATTTTCAACGATTTATTTGCTTTTTTTTCTTTTACTACATTTTAAAATTCGATAAGAAACACGACCTCCAACAATTAGGATTCTATTTTGGGATTTTTTTTGGCATTTTTGAATACAAACATGGACAAATAGTCTATGCAATAATACAGTATATCAACTTTAGTTTATCTTTTAATAGCATCATTAGCAAGCCAAATTCTTGCAAATGCTTTTTCCCCTTCTTAGCTATGGTGACTAAATCTGGATCATTTTACTATAGCAGTCAAAGTAGAATTATATATGCACAAACATACTCAAAGATCATGCTAAATATGTTTTATACCTTAAAAAATTTGCCTTTCTATGGTATTTTTCTCTAATGTAGAGCCAAAAAATTTATAGTAACAAAATATTTAACCCAACTTACAGGTGTACATGTGAATAGTATTGTGAAATTAAAATGCTAAAAATATGAGTATAAATATTTCATTTAGAGACACATTTTTGGATATATTTATTTAATTTAATATCCATCGTAGTATAATTTATTGGAAATTCATGAATTTCTAACACTTTCAAATGTGTATCATAAATAATCAAATTGGAAATAAAAAGTGTCTATCAATAATAAATATTCAAATTTTGATGTTTCAAATTCATATTAGCATTAAGAAGGTGGATTTACAGTTCTTGCTTATCTCTCCTTTTTTAAAATTAATTTAAGAAAAGTTTTAGGTCAGGTGTGGTGGCTCACACCTATAATCCCAGCATTTTGAAAGGCTGAGGGAGGTGGATTGCCTGAGCACAAGAGTTCAAGCCCAGCCTGGGCAACATGGCAAAACCTTGCCTCTAAAAAAAAATAGAAAAAATCAGCAGGGTGTGGTGGTGCACACCTGTTGTCCTAGATATTCAGGAGGCTGAGATGGGAGAATCACTTGAGCCCAGGTGGCGGAGGTTGCATTGAGCCAAGATTGCGCTTGTGCACTCCAGCCTGGGCAACAGAGTGAGACGCTGTCTCAAAATAAAAAAAGAAAAGTTTTAAATTTTAATTTGGATTTCTTAGTACCATAATGCTCTATTCTCCTTTATTCAGCAAAAACTCTAATTACAATGGTATCTATGAGAATATGCTGTATCACCCTAATTTTATACTTAGAAATATACTTTATGTTTCTGCTTTTTTAACATTTTTTATTGTGGAGCATAACATACACATAGAGAGTAATAACACAACAGAAACAGAAAGAGAAAAAATTGTAACGTTAACATGGATGTTACCACACATTGGCAAGAAAAAAGAATTTGCCAGCCATCCAGATAATCCCAATATATGTCTTCTTGCTGACATTTTCCTCCTTCTTGACTATCCCAGTTGTTATGATGATCACTCATATGTTTCACTACAGAGTTTTATCACCAATGTAATAAATTACAATTATTAAAAAGAATGTTTTTCAAACTTTATGTAAATGAGATTATACTAAATGTATTTTTCCATCTTGATAATTCTTCTCATATCTGTATTATTATTTATGTAGCTCAAATTTGTTCATTTTCTCTGTTGTATTATTCTGTTGTAAACATGTCAGTCTTGTTTGTTAATTTTGATCACTGTATAGTATTCCATTGTATAAGTATGCCACAATTTGTTTATTCATTTGGAGGACTGATAGACATTTGGAGGACTTCTCAACTTTAGCTATTGAAACTCAGTGATATGCATGTGAATGTATATGTATTCTGATAAGAGTATAAATGCTGGGTCTTAGGATGTGATCCTTCATCTTAATCAGATAATGCCATACTCGGCCGAAATGATGTCACAGATTTATAATTCTAGGAGTGGTGTATGAAAATTCCCATTGTGTCATATCCTTTCCAAAATAAGTAATGTCAATTTCAAATACTCTTTTGTTATAAGCAAGTGTACTTATACTGGAGATACTTCCTTTAATCAATCATTATGTCAAATGACTTTGAAAAAATATAATTAGTTAACAGCATACTGTAAGGGATATTTCAGGATTGTTGAACAACTCTTAAAAGGACTCAAAGAAAAAAATATTGAAATATAAAAATAGTCTACAAGCTTAATGTAGGTGTCCATGGGAAAATATAAATATATTATTGTTGTTATTGAAAAAATGATTGGTAGTAAACTTATCATGTCTGAATTTTTTTAAAGGCAGGCCTGATATCCTGACGAGATTCCCTTTACCTGACTTTTACTTCTATTCCTGATTCCTAAGTGTGCAGTAATGTTGTTTTTCCTTTTAAATTCTGTGACCAATGTCAAACAGGAAAGCATCTCAATAGGCCAACGGATGTAATCAATGCTCTCTTTATGGAAAATATGATAATTTCCAAAACAGCTCAAATTAACTCTTGTTCAAACACAATGTCCTTGCTGTAAGATAAAATTTTCCACATCGTTGTTGAAGTAAAACCTGAATTCTCATCTACTAGCATGCCAATGAAGAGTTTTTTAAATGTTCTGCAATTTTTTCCTTGTTTAAACTCTCCATAATTTGTGTTCAGCAATTTAACAACCCAATACACAGATGACACATTGGTTTTATTACCTGGTAAAGGGAGCTTGGGCATAACTAGGATCATCAACAAAGTAGATTTATATTTTCAACGCCAGTAATATGTAGAATGAATCCCATCTTTTCCTACCAAAAGCATTTAAGGTTTTCTTGGGAACCTCAGAAAGGCCAATAATCCTTAAATCCTGGTGGCTACTAATACTTTTGTATAACTTATTGTTTACAAGCTCATTCATACAAACACATTCACAAACATACACACATACATACATACTCACCCCCTCATGGATAGAAGGAATTTCTGTCCTCTAATTTCCAAAATGGAAAATTAATTACAGGGACATCATCCAGGTAGAAATAGCCCTGCTTTTCCACTTGGGCTTTTCAGACCATTTTCAATATTTATCAAACTTATCGCTCATGCTGAGGCCTTTGACTAAGTTTTTCTCTAGAGCCCAGTTAATACTTAAATATTTATTGTTTAATTAAAATACTCAGCAATTGTGTAACTATTTTGGGTGACTTGAAAAACACATGTTTCTCACTGAAGAGTCTAGAGTTCTTTGTATATGAATATTTGGTTTCATTTTTCTCCGTTTAATTTATTTTTGATTACTTAAAGGATTAAGAGGAATAGATGTTAAAATCAGTCTCCAATCTTGGATTTTATTTCTTTTCCATTTAAAAAGTATAATTGTTTCTAAGAGAGGATTTTGGAGTCAAACTGCCAAGACAGGAAACCAGATTTTCTGCTTCACATAGCTATGCTCTGAGACTTCATCTTATAACTACTCTGTGCCTCAGTATAATCATCTGTTCATGATGAGTTCATGTCCTTTGCAGGGACATGGATGAAGCTGGAAATCAGCATTCTCAGCAAACTAACACAGGAACAGAAAACCAAACACCACATGTTATCACTCATAAGTGGGAATTGAACAGTGAGAACACACAGACACAGGGAGGGGAACATCACACACCTGGGCCTTTTGGAGGGTGGGGAGCTAGGGATAGCATTAGGAGAAATACCTAATGTAGATGACGGGTTGATGGGTGCAGCAAACCACCATGGCACATGTATACCTATGTAACAACCCTGCGTGTTCTGCACATGTACCCCAGAACTTAAAGTATAATTTTAAAAAATAGCTACAACAGGCTTTGAAGACATAGACAGTACAATAAGATATTAATAGTGAAAACAAAAAGTTAAAACCTGAGAAGATGGAGTTAAGGTGCAGAGTCCTCATTTGTTTTGTTTTTGTGCTTGTTTGTTTGCTTATGTAAACAGTACTAAGTGGTTATTAGCTTGAAATGATGGGTTAGAAGATAGCATTTGCAAGCCTCATGGTAATCTCAAACCTAACAGCATAGAATGGATACACAAAACAATAAAAAGCAAGAAACTATATCATATCACCAGAGAAAATAACCTTCACTAATGAAAAATAGGAAGGAAGGAAAGAAAGAATAGCAGACTACAACATAACCAGAAAAGAAATAATAAAATGACAGAAGTAAGACCTTACTACCAGTAATAACGTTGAATGAAAATGGACTAAACTCTCCAATCAAAAGACATAGTGTTTGGCTAAATGGAAAAACAAAACAAAAAAAAAACTCCAATCTGTTGCCTCTAAGAAACACACTTTGCCTATAAAGACATGCACAGAGAGAAAATAAAGGGATGGAAAAAGATATTCCATGTCAAGGCAAACCAAAAAAAAAAAAAAAAAACAAAACAAAAAAGTAGAGTACCTATACTAATATTAGACAAAATAGTTTTCAAGACAAAAACTATGAGGACATAAAGAAGGTCACCATATAATGATAAAAGGGTCAATTCACCAAAAGGATATAGCAATTGTAAATATATGTGCACTCAACACTGGAGCACCCAGATATATAAAGCAAATATTATTAGAGCAAAGCAAAGAGAAAAGCCTCAATTCAATAATAGATGGAGACTTCAACATTCCACTTTCAGCATTGGACAGATCCTCCAGACAGAAAATCAACAAAGAAACATCAGACTTAATCTGCACTATGGAACAAACTGATTATTAGATACTTACGTAACATTTCACCCAAAAGTTGCAGAATAAACATTCTTTTCCTCAGCACATGGATTTTTCTCAAGGATAGACCATATGTTAGATCACAAAACAAGTCTTAAACAATCCAAAAAACTGAAATATTGCCAAGCATCAACTCTGGCCACAATGGGATAAAACTAGAAATCAATAACAAGAATAATTTTGGAAACTATATAAACACATGGAAATGAAACAGTATGCTCCTGAATGACCAGTAGGTCAACAAATAAATTTAAAAGGAAATGGAAAATTGCTAGAAACAAATGATAGTGGAAACAAAACATACCAAAATCTATGAAATACAGCAAAAACAATACTAAGAAGGAAATTTACAGCTATAAAAGCCTACATGAGAAAAGAAGAAAAATTCAAATAAACAACCTAATTGTGTATCTTAAAGAACTAGAAAAACAAAAGTAACCCAAACCCAAAATTAGTAGAACACAAATAATAAAAATTACAGCAGAAATAAATGAAATTGAAATGAAGAAAACAATACAAAAGATCAATGAAACAAAAACTTGTTTTCTTGAAAAGTTAAACAACATTGACAAACGTTTAGGCAGACTAAGAAAAAAAGATCCAAATTAATAAAATCAGAGATGAAAATGGAGATATTACAACTGATACAACAGAAATTCAAAGAAATATTAGTGACTAGTATGAACAACTATATATCAATAAATTGGAATCTCTAAAACAAATGGACAAATTCCTAGACACATACAACCTACAAAGATCGAACCATAAAGAAGCCCAAAACCTGATAAGACCAAAAACAGGTAATGAGATAAATTCTGCAATAAAATGTCTCCCAGTTTAAAAAAAAAAAAAAAAAAAAAAGCCTGGGAGCAGACGGCTTTAGATCTGAATTCTACCAAACATTTAAAGAACTGATGCCAATCCTACTCAAACTCTTCTGAAAAAATAGAGAAAGAGGGACTACTTCCAGGCTCATTCTTTTTTTTTTTTTTTTTTTGAGGCAGAGTCTCACTCTGTCACCCAGGCTGGAGTTCAGTGGCATGCTCTCCACTCACTGCAAGCGCCACCTCCCGGGTTCACGCCATTCTCCTGCCTCAGCCTCCCGAGTAGCTGGGACTACAGGCGCCCACCACCACGCCCGGCTAAATTTTTGTATTTTTAGTAGAGACGGGGTTTCACTGTGTTAGCCAGGATGGTCTTGATCTCCTGACCTCGTGATCCACCGAACTCAGCCTCCCAAAGTGCTGGGATTACAGGCGTGAGCCACCAGGCCCGGCCCAGGCTTATTCTTGAAAATCTTATTACCCTGATACCAAAACCAGACAAAGACACATTGAAAAAGGAAAACTACAAGTAAATATCCCTGATGAACATTGATGCTAAAGTCTCAACAATATACTAGCGAATCAAATTAAATAATACATTAAAAAGATAATTCCTCATGGCCAAGTGGGATTTATCCCTGAGATGCAAGGGTGGTTCAACATACACAAATCAAAATCAATCAATGTAATACATCATATCAACAGAATGTAGGACAAGAACCATATGATCATTTAAATTAATGCTGAAAAAGCATTTGATAAAATTCAATATTCCTTCATGATAAAAACCCTCAGAAATCTGAATATAGAAGGAAAATCTAAACATAATAAAAATCATATAGAAAGACCCACAACTAGTATCATACTGAATTGGGAAAAACTAAAAGACTTTCCTCTAAGATCTGGAACATGCCAAAAATGCTCACAATCACTGCTGCTATTCAACATAATAGTAGAAGCTCTAGCTAGAGCAATCATGCAAGAAAAATAAATAAAGAGCATCCACATAGGAAAAGAATAAGCCAAATTATCCCTGTTTTCAAACAATATGATCTTATATTTATAAAACCTGAAGACTGTACCAAAAAACTATTAGAATTGATAAACAAACTCAATAAATTTGCAGTATACACAATTAACATAAAAAATTAGTAGTATTTCTATATGTCAATAGTGAACAATCTGAAAACAAAATCAAAAAATTAATCCCACTCACAAAAGCCACACATAAAATTAAATAGCTGAAGATTAACTCAACCAAAGAGATGAAAGATCTCTATAATGAAAACTATAAAACACTAATGCAAGAAATTGAAAAGGACACCCAACAAAAGAAAAGATGGTCCATGTCCATGGATTAGAAGTATCAACATTGTTAAAATGGCCATACTACCCAAAGAATCTACAGATTCAATGTAATTCCTATCAAAATACTAAAAACATTCTTCACAGACATAGAGAAAACAATCCTAAAATTTATATGGAGCCACAACTGACCCAGAATAGCCAAAAGTATCCTAAGAAAAAAGAACAAAAGTGGAGGAATCATGTTACCTGACTTCATATTATACTACAGAGGCTGTAGTAACCAAAACAGCATGTTACTGGCATTAAGACAGACACATAGACCAACGGAATAGAATAGACAACTTGGAAACAAATCCACACACCTACGGTGAACTCATTTTTGAAAAAGATGCCAAGAACGTACACTGGAAAAAGACAGTCTCTTCAATAAATGGTGCTGGGACAACTGAATATCCCTATGCAGAAGAATGAAACTAGTCCCATATATCTATACAAATATCAAATCAAAATGGATTAAAGATGTATCTTTAAGACCTCAAACCATGAAGCTCCCATAAGAAAACTTCAGAGAAACTCCCCAGGACATTGGTTTGAGCAAAAATTTCTTGAGTAGTAATACCCCACAAGCACAGGGAACCAAGTCAAAAATGCACAATTGGGATGACATCAAGTTAAAAAATACTTCTGCACAGCAAAGGGTACAATCAACAAAGTAAAGAGACAACCCACAGAATGGGAGAAAATATTTGCAAACTACTCATCTCACAAGGGATTAATAACCAGAATATAAAAGGAGCTTTAACAACTGTATAGGAAAAAAAAAATCTAACAATCTGATCAAACAATGGGTGAAAGATTTGAATATGCATTTCTCAAAAGAAGATATACAAATGTCAAACACACATATGAAAAGGTGAAAAGGTGCTCAACATCATTGACCATCAGAGAAATGCAAACCAAAACTAAAATGAGATAGATATCATCTCAACCCCGTTAAAACAGCTTATATCCAAAAGGCATGTAACAAGTGCTGGTGAAGATGTGGAGAAACGGGAACCATTCTACACCTCAGGTGGGAATATAAATTAGTAAAACCACTATGGAAAACCATTGAAAGTTTTCTTAAAAGACAAAAATTAGAGCTACCATATGTTCCACCAATCTCACTGGTGTGTATATACCCAAAAGAAAGGAAATAAGTGTATCAAACAGGTATCTACACTCCCATGTTTGTTGTAGCACTGTTCACAATAGCCATGATTTGGAAGCAACCTGAGTGTCCAGCAACAGATTAATAGATAAAGATAATATGGTACATATACACAATGGAGTACAATTGAGCCATTAAAAAATGAGATCCTGTCATTTGCAGCAATATATGGATAGAATTGGAGATTATTATGTTAAGTTGAATACATCAGAAACAACTGATGTATTGCACAGAAGGCATGGACATAGAGAGTACATGGATGCTAAACAAAGGCTGGGAAAGGTAGTGGAGGCTAAAGGGAAGGAGTGGCTGGTTAATGGTTACCAAAAAAAAAAAAAAATAGAAAGAATTAATAAGACCTACTATTTGATAGCACAGCAGGGTGACTATAATCAATGATAATTCAGTTGTACATTTTAAAATGACTGAAAGAGTATAACTGAATTGTTTGTAACAAAAAAGAGTAAATGTTTGAGGGGATGGCTACCCCATTCTTCATTATGTGACATTGCATGCCTGTATCAACACATCTCATGTACCCAATAAATGTATGCACCTAGTATGTATCCATGAAACTTAAAAATACATTTTAAAAAAAGAAATTCCTAAACTTCCTATATCTGTTTACTGATAAGGTAAATTAATATGTCCACATAATGTTAAAATACCAAAAATGTAAAATTATGCTTTCAAATAAACTGAATACAAATTATGAAAAACTCCACATATTGACAGTAATTATTTTCTCTAGCCTATCAGCTTAAATTTAATTTCCAAGATTCCTGGTGCAATTTAAGACCTTAGACTAATATTAAATTCAGTGAGTTGATGAAAATCTTCGGATAATTTCTAGTTAAGTTGGAATACTGAAATGTGGTCACCAATCAAAGTTATATAATAAATAAATATAACTTTTATTCTTATATTTTATGGAGTGGCTATTTGTTTGGATTACACTATGAAACATGGGGGTTTTGTAGACCAATTCAAGCAAGTGTAAAAAGGATGTATATGACTATAGAAAGTTGTAATATATGTGCTTGAGAATTTTGCACATCTGCCAAAATAGTTATTTTTAATAGTCCTCAATTACATAACTTCCAGTTTTCTCCTTGAAAGAGAATTACTTTGATTAGTGTAATTAATAAAAGTAGGAGTTAGAACCAAGGTAGAAACCAGAATGGACAAGGAATATGACTGTTATGAAAGGTAATGGAATGTAGTTTAGGTTTTCAAGAATAGAGTATCTTTGCCTAAAGTAATATGTTTTGTTGCTATCTCTGTCTTCACTGTGCTTGATGATAACTGAAATCTCAATTTAATTATTTTAGCTGGGCTACATGAAGTCTGCCCTATACATGCATGGTATAGGGACCAGACAAAGCTTTGGATAGTTTATATTCAGAAGTTGGGGCTCCCCTTTTCTGGCCTTCTCCTTTCTCAGATTTTCTCCTGACCTCCTGCTGCTCGTGTTATGCCAAACTCAGTCCTCTGTTACTTCAACCCAGTAAGTCTACAGTTTTCTTCTGACGTTTTAGTCCTCTGCCTGGTGCACACTAGGGCCAGCTATAAAATCAGGAAACTCACTCCTTGCTATTCCCTTCTTCCAAGTGCTGACCTCTCTCTAGTATCTGCCTATTTTGTTCATTCTCCATTGCCAATGAATGGCTGTTTTTTAAAATATTTTATCCAGAATTTATAAAAAGTATCTGTGGGAGGCTTGGTCCTATGGGTTTTATTTGATCTTTAGTGTAAGAAAAAAATGTTGTATGTATATTTTTCTACTTATCATGTTTCCCTCTTTCTTTGGCCCACTATTTCATGTAGAATACATTGACAGTCATTAGTTTTACAACTTAGTCTACAGATTCTGAATTATAGAGAACAGCTCATGATGGAATTGGGGAGAATATTGGCATCATCCGGAGATGATACATTTGTATCAGGATGAAATTGGAAAAGGGAGCACATTTCTGAATCATCAAGATTAGTGGTTTGAAAACACGTCTAAGTGCTTTGACTCACCTCATATGGATAGATGGAGTCTATTCCCCTCCACATCCAAACTAGCCTTCATGATGTGTTAAGTAAATGTTCTGTCACAGAACTGACACAGAAGAACTTCCAATGTTTAAAAAGCCGGCGCCTTCTTGTCACATGTGCCCTTGGGGCCTTGAGCCAAATGCTGGAGAACCTATGTCAAGAAACAAAATAAAAATAGAAAGAGATGCTTGAGGAGCCTCAGCTCACTGCCCACCCACAGTGAAACATATGATTAATACATTTCCTATCATCAATATATAGATTAGACAGATAATTTTCAATATTTGCAGAATGTTTCATTCAATTGTGATCCATAGTTTATATACCCTGTTTACATTGAGTTTATTTTAAGAGAGGGAATAATTGAATTTTTTTGAGAAATATTAAGAATGGGAGACAAAGGGAAAATTGGAAATTCAAGGGCTCAGAGGTGGCTAAGCAAAATAAATGGAAATACTTGACATCAGATGTCAATTTAAAAAAAAAAAGGTTTTCTTTAATTCAAAAAGTGGAAGAAACAACTTTTCTAACTACACATTAAAAAATTATAACAGCACTGAAAGTATCATGATCATGTATCTTCATTCCTATTATAGAAATGATTTTTTTCTAATCTATTCACATACTACTATTAAATCCAGTATCCTTTAGAACAGTTTTTGGTATACACATACAAAATTTACTCTACTTATGTATGTATGTTTGTCACTCAAATTTTATTGTGTGCATCATTAGCTAACAACCATTCTATTTGCTTTATAATAAATATAAAATAAGAATTCATAATGAAATAAAACCTACCCCAAAGATCCATTCTCATCATTAATTTAGAATTGAATGTTTTTACCATCCAAAAAATTAGAGGTTCAAACAATGATAGTTAAGTACATATATGTGGTACAAATTACAATGGAAAACAACAATGATTTCCTGATAAAAGCTGTAAGTTCCTAATTATAAATAGAGGTAATAAATTCTTCACATGAAATACCATAGGATGAACTATCATAAAATATACCTACATATATATGTGAAATATACTCGGCTTCATAATTTGTGGTCAATGTTGTTATTCACACACATGCACACATATACCCACACACACATATGTGTGTGTGTGTGTATAGATAGATAGATAGATAGATAGATAGATAGATAGATAGACTTTTCTAGGTATCTGTTTTGAAATTATTCAAATATATACACTAAGGAAAAACGAATGGAAATATAAAATGTTCCAGATACCGTCAGTTTGTTTTCAGCTAAAAGATACACAATGCTCCCTTTGTGAATCTATGGAGTTGAGGGTTTCTGTCCTTTCACTCAGCATTTCACCTGTCACAAAGCTGAAAGAAAGGTCTGTTTTGGCTTCCTACTTCCCATAGTCAGGATGAATGAGTGGAACAAAGGATACATGAATCCAAGAGTTTGGTAAAGCAGGAATACAAGTTTGCTCTGCTGAGTCCTAGGATTCCAAGTTGATGTGATTAGACACAGAAAGTAAATGGCAAATAACATAAGGAAGGAGATCACAGTTTGCAAAGCTTTTATGTGCACCTTGGTGCTGAGATGTTGAGATCCTTTGCCATGGAGCTGCATCTTCTTGACATGTTTACATGGAGAATAGATTAACAGCAGAAAAGATATTAGTGTCAGAGTGCAGGGTGTGACGTTTGCTGGCATGGTTACAGTCAAGTTTGAAAGCTGTATTGCATTCCTCAATTTGATCATCCAAGACAAATTTCCTTCATATTCTTTTGTCCACACACTCTCACCCATGGTTATCAGAGCAAGATTACAAATGAAAAATACCAAGGGCCCCAACAGCATCACCAAACCAACATTCTTAATCCTCTTCTTTAGGTGGAGAAAAATAAGGTTGGAGAAATTGGCAGTCTTGAGCAAATGAAATATGCTGAGGCTAGTAACACCCAGATGCTGAAATGCTTGGTTATTGCTGAGACATTAGAACCAAAAATTCTTACTTCTAATCTATATGAAGCCAAATTAAACACAGTTGCATACCAATGTAATAATATGACCCAGAGTAAACCAATTCTGGACACCACCAGAGCAGTGAGAAATTTGGTCAGCTGATGAGATCTTTTGTGTCTTAACCCACTCAAGGACACCTACTAGAGCTATGAAGCCATTGGCAACATTTCCAAGAACAAATGCAAACACTACCAGAATTGATAAAATGATGAGCAGAAAACATATCATGTTTGAACAAATGAAAAGAAAGAAAAAATGCAGCCTTAATAACACTGGTTGTGATTCCCTTAATATCCAGACCTTAATGTCGATAAACACTTGACTTTTAAATGTGCAGTAACATTTTCTGCCTTTAAATTCATGACTAATTTCAACAGGAAAGCACCATCATATGCTAATGGATGAATTCAAAGCTGTCTTTATAGAAATAGAAAATATTCTTATTCTCAAAACAGCTCAAATTCACTCCTCTTCATACACTGTCTGTCTTACTATATGCTGAAATATTTTATATTGAGGATGAAGTGAAAAGTAAATTCTCATGTGTTAGTATGCAAATAAAGGCATTTTTTAAATTGTTTTGCAATTGTTGTCCTTGCTAACCTCTCCATAATTTGTGTCCAGCATCGTCAGTTGTTACATAGGGAAATTTTAAAACCCAATACACATATCATACAGTACAGGTTTAAATTGTTTAAGGAGCTTGGTCATAACTAGGATAATACCAATATGGTTTGTTTAATACCAGAATCTAAACCTTTTATCAATATCATCCAAGATTATTTTGGAAAGTCCTGGGAGGCCAATACACCTTAAAATCTGGTTTCTGATAACCAATACATTTATATGACATCATTGTTAATAAGCTCCTCAATACATAGACACACATGCACTCACACACTTAGCAGATGCAATGAATTATTTTCTTATAAATCCCCAATTGGAAAACGAGTTTCCCCAGGAGGTCATCTAGGTGGAATTAGTCATATTCCACTCAGGGTTGTCAGACAATGAATAATATTTATCAAACATGTTTCTCATGCTTGGGCCTGCCAAGACCAGCTCGGTTGTGGAGACCCTAATCCTGTGGCGCCAGAGGAATTAAGACACACACAGAAATATAGTGTGTGGAGTGGGAAATCAGGGGTCTCACAGCCTTCAGAGCTGAGAGCCCCAAACAGAGATTTACCCACATATTTATTGACAGTAAGCCAGTGATAAGCATTGTTTCTATAGATTATAGATTAACTGAAAGTATTCTTCAGGGGAAACAATGGGATGGGCCGAAACAAAGGGATGGGTCTGGCGAGTTATCTGCAGCAGGAATATGTCCTTAAGGTGCAGATCGCTCATGCTATTGTTTGTGGCTCAGGAATACCCTTAAGTGGTTTCCTGCCCTGGGTGGGCCAGGTGTTCCTTGCTCTCATTCTGGTAAACCCACAACCTTCAGCATGGGTGTCATGGCCATCACGAACATGTCACAGTGCTGCAGAGATTTTATTTATGGCCAGTTTACTGGGGCCAGTTTATGGCCAGATTTGGGGGCCTGTGCCCAACATAGGCCTTTGGTAAATTTATTCTCAAGTCTGTTTTTTGTTTAAATATTAATTATTTAATTAAAACAGTCAGCAATTTTGCAAATATTTCTAAGTACGCTACACTTTGTCATATAATCCTGCAGTATCCTCCCACCACAGGCAGGGTGACTACCTGGAACTTGGACTCTGAATTCACTCATGTAATTTGCTTCAGTGAACAGCAAATTAGTAGACTTTACACAGAGATTTAAGACGGTTTCCATATTGGAGTTTCTTGCTCTTTTCCATTCACCATGAGAACATCATCTGGTGAGTACACTGTTCCCAGAAGAAGAATGAGAAACTAATGGAGTCAGAATGCCACTGCTTTATCCAGCCTAAATCAGCCAAAGTAGCTTCAAGATGCAGAATGTGGCCCATCTCCAATCACCACAGCCATCCACCAAACCTAGCTGACAAAAATGAAATCCAAAGACACATGAGACACAAATATCTAATGCAGTTTTGGAGGATTTTCTCTTGCAGAAAAACTTAAGTGATATAGGTATTCTGCTAAGCCAAGCGTGTGGGAAACATGTCCACCCCTGTTGTGTCAGGAATTCAGGATCCAAGGGAAAAATAGATGGAAAATGTCAATGTTTTGTCACATGAAGTAGATAATTAAAACTAGAAGAAATATCTACTGAAAAATCTGGGGTTGGCAGGAAACATCTTGTCAAATTTTCAGTAGTCACAACTAAAATCAAAAATTTTCTAATTAAAATCTTTTAGAGCTGTACATGAATGTATACAGTGTATTTTTCCCTTTGGTATATAATGAGCAGAATAATAATAATTTTCATGGAACATTTCTTCTGATTAATAATTTTTATATTATAACTAGACTGCACACTTAGAAATGAGCCAAAACAAAAATGGAAAACATAGCAATATGTCATAAACACTCATGTAACCATCAGGTAGGGCAAGACATGGAATGTTGCTAACAGCCTAGGTTTACCTCAATGTGTTTCCATCCCTCTACACCTTTCTTCACACCTCCTGTAATACGCAACGTCCATAATTTATGATGATCATTTTTTAAAATTTTTCTTTATACTTTACCAACTAGGTATGCAACCCTAAACTCAATAGCTTGGTTTGGTCTGCTTGGAACTCTGTATAGATACAATCCTATATGTTCGTATTCATGGCTTCCTGTGCTCAACATTATGGATCTGAAATGTAATCACATAACTGCATGTACATGTGATTCATTTCTTTTCACTTCTCTATGTTTTTCCATTTTATGATTTTATTGTAATTATTTATTCATCCTTATTTGATGTACATATGGGCAGCTTCTTTTCTGAGCTGTTAGAATAATTCTACAATGAGCATTCTTTCACATATCATTTGCTACAATTCCTTTGCATATATATAGCTGGGTGTAGAATTACAGCGTCCTTGATTATGACATTCAAATTCTCCTCACAGACATAGAAAAGCCCAAAACACAGTTTGACTAAATTTATTCCTGTCACCTTTATCTCCAGTCTCTTTATTGCTATTTGCATATATCTTATCAATTATACATTTAATCCAACAAGACAATATTGTTTTATACAGTCAACATTTATTTAGAATTACACACTTATTTTTCGTCATTAATTTTTATTGCTCCTTGCATGTTCAACTTTGTATTTTCAGTAATTTTTATTATATCTGAAAAATATCATTTTCAATTTCTGTTTATGAAGGTCTACTACTCTTTGGAAACACACTGAAGACATGATTCCATTGAATTCCTCCTTCCATATTTTCTGTTAAAATCAGGTTGTATTTAGAATGCAGTTCTTATCAACATACTCTATCTTCTACCTCTAGCTACTTTTCAGATTTTCTACTGGTCTTTGGTGTCCTGTATTATTTTTTGTTAACTTGATTTTAGTTATCATGCCTGAAGTTTGTGATTACTAAAGATATATGCTGGGATACATTTTCACTTTTGGAAAAATCCCTGCAACATTTCTCTCGCTCTGTTTTCTCTCCTCTAATCTTACAGAACTCTACAAGTATGTTAGGTGTTTTGATGATAGCATCAGTGTGTTACCCTCTAGCCTTGCATTTTCCATTTCTTTCTCTCTATGCTTCATTCTGTGTAGCTATCTTCTAATTCACTAATTATCTCTTCTAGTGCTCTAACTGGTTGACTCTTTCTATTGGATTCTCAGTACTGATATTTCATTTTTTTAGTCTTATTGTTTTAGTGTTCAGAATAATCTTTTATTCTCTTTCTGAACATTATTTTCTATAGGAAAACTGAACAAACTACTCTTAACACTCTGTTCTTTTTAAAAATGTTTCTGATTTTTTTGATTTTTTTTTTTGTTTTAGTATGTTAGAAATGAAAACGGTAACAATTTTCTTCTTTTCCCAACACTTTAGTCAGAGAATAGAATAAAAGCTTTGTGTTAGAATTTACCTTCAATTTGAAAGAAACTGGAAATTAAGTTGATGTGAGTACCTTTTTTTGGATATTAGCTTGTCTGTTGCTGGGTCCCCACCACAAACTCTGCTCAAAGGGAACTCAAAGAGCAGCACTGGATTTCAAAATATCATTGCAATAGATAAAATATAGTTCATTAACCACAGATACATCATTGTATTCCATGACATAATTTTCACTTTGCTTATGTTGTTGAAAAGGTGCTCTGTGCCTTTGAATTACATCATTATCCAAATGATATAGACAAGATGTGGGGGAGAGCTTACTTCTGTTTGATTTATTTAGCCCTAAAATCCTCTCTTTAGAAATAAGAGCTTGATCATGAAATGGTTTATTTATTTTTCTTACTAAGCAATTTTATTTATACTAAAATCAAAATCTTTTTATAGTGTTCCTTGGATTAGTTTAATATCATCTATAATTGTTTTCTTAAGCAATGTATTTTAAACTACACTACACTACACTTAACTTTCTAAATCTCAATGTATTCAGCCTGACATGAACTTTGCTGTTTACTAATGTAACTTTCCCACAATGATATCTCTTGGAAATTACATAGACGTTACCCAAATTATGTATGTAAATATTTCAGAAATAAATCATTTAATAAGACAGATGTAAATGTAGATGATGATAATAATGATGATGATGTCACCTGAAAGGGAGAATGTTACTAAATAATTGTGATTCGAGTCTTCTTTTCAAAGCACTAGAGTTAAGGGTGGTGGGAGAACACTATTATTCATCCTCATGGCTTTACATTTTGTGTGTGTGTGTGTGTGAGATGGAGTTTCGCTCTTGTCACCCAGGCTGCAGTGCAATGGCACAATCTCAGCTAACTGCAACCTCCGCCTCCAAGGTTCAATTGATTCTCCTGCCTCAGCCTCCCAAGTAGCTGGGATTACAGGTGCTGTCCATCACATCCAGCTAATTTTTATATTTTTAGTAGACAGTGGGTTTCACTATATTGGCCAGGCTGGTCTGGAACTCCTGACCTCAGGTGATCCACCAGTCTCAACTTCCAAAGTGCTGGGATTACAACCATGAGCCATGGTGCCTGGCTCGATTCTTATATTATTCTCAGAATCAGGCCTAGACAAATACCCTCACATAGTATTTCATCAAGAGTAACACAAAATCAACATATTTCTAATGATTTGGAAGATATTTTTTCTTTTACCACATTCTAAAAATTACCCCAAAAGTGACCTCTAGCAAAGAATACTCTCTTTTTGGCTGTTTAATTTTATTCCACTTTTATATGAACTTACACAAATACTCTGTGCAATTATAAAGTGTATAAGCTTCATCTTTTAATAGCATTATTAACAAGTGAAATTCTCTCTACTGTTTATTTTTAATCTCAGCTACTGTCACAAAATCTGGGTGATTTTATTACAGCAGTCAAAGTAGTTACACTAAATATGCTTTATGCCTCAACAAAATTATCTTTCTACTAATTCTTCTCTAATATTCAAAAACTTTGTACTATCAAAATATTTTTCCTCACATATGTGTACACATGCATGGTATAATCTTTGAATGGTAAAAATGGGCATAATTATTTCATTTAGAGATAAATTTATAAAAATTGTCCTGTGTATTTAATATCTATATTACTATAATTTATTGGAAATTCACTAATTTCTGCCTCTTTGAAATGTTATCATAAATAATGAAATTGGAAATAAGAAAAAAAGGTGTCTAGTGTAATACAGATGCTCAGAATCTGATGTTTCTTTTTTTTTTTTTTTTTTTTTTTGAGACGGAGTCTTGCTCTGTCACCCAGGCTGGAGTGCAGTGGCGAGATCTCGGCTCACTGCAAGCTCTGCCTCACTGCAAGCTCCGCCTCACTGCAAGCTCCGCCTCACTGCAAGCTCCGCCTCACTGCAAGCTCTGCCTCACTGCAAGCTCCATCTCCCAGGTTCATGCCATTCTCTTGCCTCAACCTCCGGAGTAGCTGGGACTACAGGCGCCTGCCATCAGGCCTGGCTTATTTTTTGTATTTTTAGTAGAGAGGGGGTTTCACCGTGTTAGCCAGGATGGTCTCCATCTCCTGACCTCGTGATCCACCCAACTTGGCCTCCCAAAGTGCTGGGATTGCAGGCATGAGCCACCGCACCCGGCCAGAATCTGATGTTTCATAGTAAAACTAACATTAAGAATGTGGAGGTAGACTTCCTGCTTATCTCTTACTTTTTAAAATATTTAAAGAAAAGTTTAAAATTTTATCTTGGATTTCTTACTATCATAATGCTCTATTCTTCTTTATTCAGCAAAACTCTAATTATCATGATGTCTATAAGAATATGTTTTTTCAGCCTATTTTATATTTATTTATTATATGATTTGCTTTTTAAGTATTTTCATTATTGTGAAGCATATTTATAAAGTAATAAAGCCTAAATGTACAGTAAATTAAAAAATTATGGCATTAAGAGTCATGTTATCACATCTTGGTCATAAAGTAGAATTTGCCAGCAATCCAGACACTCCCCATATATGCCTTCCTGTTGATATCATTTCCCTTTTGTTTCCTCCATCCCTACTATCCCAATTGTTATGATAATCACTCACATGTCTCACTTTAGAATTTCGCCACCAATGTAATAAATTGTAATTTATTAAAAATATTTTTTGTAAACTTTATATAAATGGAATTATACTGAATCTTTTTTCAATTTTAATAATTCCTCTCATATCGATGTTGTCCAAATACGTTCATTTTCCTTTTTATTTATATTCTTTGTAAACTTGTCTCTCTAGTTGGTTCATTTTGATTGCTGTATAGTGTTCTATTGTACAAGTGTGCCATAATTTATTTATACATTTTATCACTGACGGAAATTTGAGAGACTTCTCAACTTTAGCTATTAAAACTCAGTGATATGAAAGATCAGGACATAGACATAGGCAAGGCCTTGAGGACGAAAATACCAAAAGCACTGGCAGCAAAAGCCAAAATAGACAAATTGGATCTAATTAAACTGAAGAGCTTCTGCACGGCAAAAGAAACTACCATCAGAGTGAGCAGACAACCTACAGAATGGGAGAAAATTTTTCAATCTACACATCTGACAAAGGGCTAATATCCAGAATCTACAAAGAACTTAAACAAATTTACAATAAAAAAATCCCATCAAAAAGTGGGCAAAGGATATGAACAGACACTTCTCGAAAGAAGACATTTATGCAGCCAACAGACACATGAAAAAATGCTCATCATCACTGGTGATCAGAGAAATTCAAATCAAAACCACAATGAAATACTATCTCATGCCAGTTAGAATGGCGATCATTAAAAAGCCAGGAAACAACAGATGCTGGAGAGGATGTGGAGAAATAGGAACGCTTTACACTGTTGGTGGGAGTGTAAATTACTTCAACCATTATGAAAGACAGTGTAGTGATTCCTCAAGGATCTAGAGCTAGAAATACCATTTGACCCAGTGATTCCAATACTGGCTATCTACACAAAGGATTAAATAGCATGCTACTATAAAGACACATGCACACGTATGTTCATTGCGGCACTATTCACAATAGTGAAGACTGGGATCCAACCCAAATGTCCATCAATGATAGATTGGCTAAAGAAAATGTGGCACATATACACCATAGAATACTATGCAACCATAAAAAAGGATGAGATCATGTCCTTTGCAGGGACATGTATGAAGCAGGAAACTCAATAATATTTACATAAAGTATTATTAAAACTAACATTTTATAAGCCTTTTTCTATTATAATTTAGAATGTAACCTTAATTCAAAAATTGTTACTCTTTTTAAATTCTATGAGTGTGATTTTATGCACATTTATTAATAATGAATTATATATTTTATATATGTATTCATTTTCCTTTATTCGTTTTTCTAATATTTTTTAAAGTTTTAAGTGCTCTTTTATTATGAACACATGTAATTATACTAGACATACTTCTTTTAACCAAATATTATGCCAAATGACTTTGAGAAAATATGATTAGTTAACAGCATACTGTAAGGCAACTTTCAGCATTGTTTAACAACTACTTAAAAGGACCCAAAGAAAATAATATGTTGAAATATCAAATCAGTATATAAGTGTAATGAAGGTGCCTATGGGAAAATACAAATTCTACCATTACTGTTATGGATAATAATGATGAGTAGTAAACATACCATGTCTGAATTTTTTTAAGGCAGGCCTAATATCAATGGGCAATATTCCCTTTAAGGTCCTGACCTTAATTTCTATGTGCACCTGATTTCTGATTGTGCTGTAATGTTCTTGTTCCTTTTAAATTCTCTGACTAATGTCAAGCAGGAACGCACCGGGCCATGCTACTGAATGAGTTCAAGGCTGTCTTAATGGAAAACATGATAATTTCCAAAACAGCTCAAATTAACTCCTATTCAAATGCTGTGACCTTGTTATAAGATAAAATGTTTCATGCTGATGTTGAAGTAAAAGCTGAATTCTCATTTGCCAGCATGCAAATCAGGTCATATTCTTATTCATCATTTTGCCATTTATTCCTTGTTTAACCTCTCTATAATTTGTGCTGAGCAATGGCAGTTGTAAGGGAAATTTTCTAACCTAATACATAGATCGTACATCAGATGCCTACACTGTTATATGCAGCTCGGTCAAAACTAGAATCACGACCACTGTTGATTCACCTTTTCTGTGCCAGATTTAGTGAGTCCTAACTTTTCCTACCAAAAGCATCCAGCGTTTTCTTGGGAAGCCCAGGAAGGCCAATATTCCTAAAAATCTGGTTGCTGCCAACTAATAATTTTGTATAACTTATTGTTAACAAGCTCATTAACACAAACACGTTCACACACACACATACACACACCTCATAGTTGGGAAATATTATTGTCCTATAATTTCTAAAATGAAAAAATAATTTTCTTACTTGGGCTTTTCAGTGCATTTTCAATCTTTATCAAACTTAGCCTCTCATATTTAGGACTTTGACTAAATTATTCTCTTGAGCCTAATACTTAAATATTAGTTGTTTAATTAAAATACTCAGCAATTTTATAACTATTCCTTGGGCACTTAAAAAACATGTTTTCCATTGAAGAGTCTACACTTCTCTGTGTATGAATAGTCAGTTGTATTTTCCTCTATTTAATTCATTTTTGATTACTTAATGGTTTAGATGAATAGATGTTAAAATCAGTCTCCAATCTTGGATTTTTATTTCTTTTCAGTTTTTACAGTATGATGGTTTCTAAGAGGGGATCTTGGAGTCAGACTGCCAGGACAGGAAACCAGATTCCCTGCTTGGTATAGCTATGATCTGAGACTCCATTTTACAACTACTCCCTGCCTCAGTATTATCACCTATAAAAAGCAGATGATTGGCCAGGCCCGTGGCTCCCAGCAATTTGGCAGGCTGAGGCAGGTGGATCACCTGAGGTTAGGACTTCAAGACCAGCATGGCCAACATGGTGAAACTCTATATCCACTAGAAATGCAAAAATTAGCCAGGTGTGGTAGTACCCGTCTGTAATCCCAGGTACTCAGATGGCTGCAGCAAAAGAATCATTTGAACCCAGGAGGTGGAGGTTGTAGTTAGTCGAGATCACACCACTGCACACCAGCCTGGGAGACAGAGCTAGACTCCGTCTCGAGAAAACAACAACAAAAAAAGCAGATGATAATAAATCTGTCTTTGGCTAGTTTTCTTATGAGTTAACATACTATTTGTATAACTGCTTTCCATTTTACCTTTTTGCTATAGGCAGGAACCAAAGATTGTTAATTATTGATTTGAACCTGTTTTACTTGATATTTAAGACACCAGTAAGAACTTTCACTTTTTTTTTTTTCTTCTTAGACAGAGTCTCCCTCTGTTACCCAAGCTGGAGTACAGTGGCAGGATCATAGCCCACTACAGCCTTGAAACCCTGGGCTCAAGCAATCCTCCTGCCTCAGTTTCCCAAGTATTTGGAACTATAGGCATGCAGCACCACGCCAGCTAATTTTTCAATTTTTTGTAGACATGGAGTTTCCATATGTTGCAAAGGGAACTCCTGCTCTCAAGGGATTCTCCCACCTTGGCCTCCCAAACTACTAAGACTACAGGCATGAGCCATCACATCCAGCCTGCAGGGGGAGGTTTTGAAGGTCAGATGCTACCTAGAGCTTCGTCTCATGTCCATCCCAAGGTGGATCTAATCAGTTTGTAGTTACTACCTCTTCCTGAACGTGTAATTGAACTGGATACGTATGGCAGCTGGCAGGACTTTCACATTCTTCGTGAACTGTAGAGTAAGGGACATTATTATAGCAGGACCAAGTTGAAGCCTCTGAAATTCTCCACTGCTGGCAACCCAATGTATAAAATATAATAACCGCATTCCCTAAGGAATGGAACTGGTCACTGCCGTGACAAAACACTTGCAAGTTACAGGGGATGGTAGACCTTTCTATAACTGGATTCACTTAACCTATCTGGCCTCTACCAAAACCAGATGGATTATAGAATGAGTGCAGATTACCATAAACTTCAATCAACACTCACAAATGCTTTCTAGGATGTACTGTCTTCACAGAGCAGAGCATAGCTTCTGGCACTTTTTACGGGGCTCGTCATTTGGTGAATATTTGTTAATCTACACCCTTTATGAGGGAAAATCAAGACAATTTGCCTTGTATTGTAAGAATAATAGCACTGCTTCACTGTTTTATGTCAGGACTATGTCACTTCTGTTCTCTGTTTAATTTACATTTTTTTAAAAACATCATGCTAATTTAATATATTAATAATATTACAGCCCGGGCCCTGTGGCACATGATTGTAATTCCAGCACTTTAGGAGGCTGACTTGGGCCCAGGAGTTTGAAACCAGCCTGGGTAACATGGTGAAATCCCAGCCCTACAAAAAATACCAAAATTAGCCAGGCAAGGTGGTGTGTCCCTGCAGTCCCAGCTGCTAGCAATGCTGAGGAGGGAGAATCAACTGAGCCCAGAAGGTTGAGGCTGCAATGAGCTATGATCCTGCCACTGCACTCCAGCCTCATGGACAGAATGAGACCCTGTCTCAAATAATAATTATATATTATTTGGTAAAATAAACAGGAAGAGGCAAGATTCTTAATATTGTAAAATACTATAACATTGAATGGAAGTAAAATACCAGAAGAAAAGAGATATGTGAAGATTCAGGGACTGACAACATAGGTGATGTTTTCAGGTTTTCAGTGTCCCTAGTCCACATGTCAAAACAATCTTTTTTAAAGTAAACGGCATGTTGCTCTCTCTCTATATTTCCTATCACTACAAAAGAGACACAGTGTTTTGGGGGCCTACTGGGATTTTGGAGCCAACATATTCCACATTTGAGAATATTGCTCTGACTCATTAATGAAGTTTCTATAGGCTACTGGTCTCAAATGGAGCCCAGAACAAAAGAGGGCTCTACAGCAGATATAGGTTCTGATCCAAACTGCTATGGCCACTGAGCCAAATGATCCAGCAGAATTCAAAGCTGTTAGAGGCATACATAGTGGGCATTATAGGACTCTGTGCACGTCTCTGACAAGCCTGTGGGAGAGGGGAGAGCAAATCCCTATGGAATTAGTGCAAGACCATTCCCTCTTCAGCAGAGGAGTATCCTCTGTGCAACTGTGCAAGTCATATGCTCATAAAGCCAGCCATGACTGGAGGGCATGAGTACATCTGAGCGGCACAAAGAGTGGTGGTATTGGACACAGACATGTGCTTTCTTAGATTCCCTTCACTATCTCCTATTCCCCTGGCCAGCACCTTGCCTGATCCAGATCATCCTTCCATTTGGGACTTGAATGGAACACCACACTGTGGGCATGAGGTCTGACTTTCACAACCTCCACCTAGGGACTGGATGATGGAAGGCAGAACAGCAGAGATGGTAGTTCTGCCTCAGGGAAACAATGGCCAATGGGAAATCAAATACAGAAGACAACTGAGCAGATACATTCTCCATTCTCCCTCCTCTCTCTCATCCCTGGACTAATGCCGGCTGTGGTTTCCCCTTGTAGCCCTTCTGGAAAAGTGCTGGGAGCCAAGTGTACGCATCTGATGACCGTCATGCTGTCTCTCTCACCTCACTGTGAAGTGGCTGCCAGCAGAGTCATACCAGACATCACCACACATTGTTTCACATTTGTTCCTGTCTCAATTTCCACATATCCTTGCCATTTTTGTCTTGAACTTGATTTCTAAATAAATGTCATCACCTTAATAACAGGTAATACATAAAAAACATTTTAGTAAAGTAGCTGGTTACTAACTCAATTTTTAAAATGAAATGCCATTTTTGTTTAAATAATAATCAACTAGAAAATATCATAATACAAATATATAATTCACAATAGAAAAAAATACATATTCAAATAGACCAAGGTTGTTTATACGCTTTCTAAAAATATTGTAATAGGCGCCATCTAATTTTGATGTTCTACCTTGTCTCCAATTCAGACACCTGATACAGCTGCATCAAGACTATATTATTGTCATATTTCCCCTAAAATTGTGGAATAGCCAAACTTTTCCTCTGCGGAAGGATTCTGCTTGGATAAGCCTGTAACCTTAACCTGAGAACAGAACAGGGGAACTCATGCAACTGCAGATTTTGTGATGAGTTTCCCTTTCATTGGTTTACCACATCAGCTTACCCATTTTATCCACCCATTTATTTGTTCATTAAAATATCATTTTTGACCATCTATTCTTGTTGCTGGGTTCTAGGTCCTGGGAGTCAACAGAAAGCAAGAAAGAGATGAGATCATCTTGCTCTCTGATCTTACATTCAACAGAAAGCAAGACAGAGATGAGATCATCTCTGATCTGATTTTACAGTTCTTACATTGTACTGAGGAAGATACATGATTTTAAAAAAACACATAAATCACATGTGGGGATGATTTATCTTAAGGTTTAAATCACATTTTTAAAATTTCATAACACCAAAATTAATACAGTCATGTAGAATTTAGCTGTGAACAAGACTGTACATTTCCATCTCATAATAGAACTTCCTATTAATGAATATGTCAACCACTTTCATTTCATCATTGACAACAAAATTATAACTGTAAAGCACATTCTATAATTAAAACATAGATTTCATAGATGCCATTTTAACATTTACAAAAATTTCATTGATTTATTTTCCATAATTTCTATACTATTTTTACATTGATAGTTTTTTTTTAGAATAAGGAAGATTTGGGTTCTGTTACCTGAAGTTTAGAAGGAATTTTATAAATGGAAGGTAAGGGTATAATTAACAATTCAGGGGCTTAAAAGTGCTTTAGAAAAAAATACTAAAATAGTTTACATCACCTCTCAACTTCTAAAAAAAAGCTTTTCTTTAATCCAAAAGCTGGAAGAAATGACTTTTCTAACTACATATGGAAACTGATAATAGCAATCAAGATCACAATCATGATTTTTCATCCCTATTATAGAAGAGATTGTTTTCTAAGCTATTCACATGCTTGTATTAAATCTAATATTCCTCAGAACTGTTTATGGTAGACATAGTTGAAACTTACTCTACATATGCTTGTCACTCAAATTTTATTGTGTGCATTGTTTTCTATCAATAATTCTGATTGCTTTTTACTAAACATAAAATAGGAATTCATAATGGAATAAAACCTCAAAGACACATCCTTATTATTGATTTAGAATTGAATGACCTTACCATCCAAAAAGTTACAGGTTCAAACAATGAATTCGAAGCACACTGTGGTATATTTGTGTGGTTCAAATAACAATAGAAAACAGCAATGTCTTTCCTGAGATAAGCTGATAGTTCTTAATAATTATAAATATAGATCATAAATTATTCAAATGAAATATAAAATACATAAATGAAATAGGTATGGATTCATAATTCTTAAGAATTTTTGTCATATTTTGTATAATTTGGCAGTTTGTGTGAAAAAACAAAAAAGAGTATGTCACTGTCAATGTTCTTTTGTTTTTCATACAAACATACACACAAAAATACATATATATACATACGCACTTTTTTAGACTAACGTTAGGTAAAAGACTTTTCTAGGTACATGCTTGAAAGTTATTCATATACATACATTACAGAAAACACAGTAAGAAATATAAAATGCTTCATATAACACGTTTGTTTTCTGCTAGAAGATACACAATGCTGCTCTTGTGAATCTATGAAGATGAAGGCTTCTCTCCTTTCACCCAGTACCTCACATGCCACAAAACTGAAAGAAAAGTCTGCTTTAGCTTCTTGTTTCCCCAAATCAGGATGAATGGGTGGGTTGAAGGATAGCTGAATGCAATAGCTTCGCAGAACATGAAGACAGGTTTGTTTTCCAGACTCTCAAAACTCTAAACTGACATGATTATGGACAGAAAGTAAATGGCACATAACAAGAGGAAGGAGGTCACAGTTTGCATAGCTTTTATGTGGACCTTCATGCTGGGATCTTGAGATCCTTTGCCATGGAGCTGCATCTTTTTGAGATGTTTACACAGAGAACAGATTAACAGCAGAAAAGATATCAGGGTCAGAGTGAAGGGAACTAAGTTTGCTAGGATGGTTACCGTTGTATTTGAAAGGTACATTGCACTCCTCAGTTTGATCTTCCAAGTCATGTTTCCTTCATATTCTTTTGTCCATATAATCTGATTCATGTTTATCACAAAAAGATGACAAACCAAAAATAGCAAAGGCCCCAATAGTATCACCAGAACAACACTCTTAACTCTCCTCTTTAAGTGAAGAAAAATAAGGTTGGAGAAATTGGCAATCTTGAGCAAATAAAATATGCTGAGGCTAGTAGCAAGCCAGTTGCTGAAATGGTTGATTACTGCCCAGACATTGTAAGCAGTAATTCTTACTTCTATACTGTTAAAAGCTGGATTCAACTCAGTTGCATACCAATTTAATACTAATACCCAGAGTAAACCAACTCTGGAGACTGCCAGAGCAGTGAGAATTTGGTCAGCAAAAGAGATCTTTTGTCTCTTGAACCACTCAATGGAATTTACCAATGCTATGAAGCCATTAGCAAAATTTCCAATCACAAATGTAACCACTATTAGAATGGAAAAAATGATGGGCAGAAAAGTTATCATGTCTGAACAGACAAAAAGAAATTTTTAAAATGCTGGTGTAATATCACTGGTTGTGATTGCTTGAATATCCTGACCTTAAATTCTATATGCACCTGATTTGTGTATGTGCTGTGACATTCTTTTTACTTTTAATTGTTGTTACCAATGTCAAGCCAGAAATCACCATGGCATGCTAATGGGTAAGTTCAACGCTCTCTTTATGGAAAATATTCTTATTTTCAAAACAACTCAAATTAACCCATTCATTCACTGTCTGTCCTTGTTATAGGCTGGAATTATTCATACTGAAGTTGACATGAAACCTGAATTCTCATTTGCTAGTATGCAAACAAGGACATATTCACTTTCAGTGTTTGCAATTTTTCCTTGTGTAACCTCTCCATCATTTGTCTTTAGTGACTTCAGTTGTTAGGGAAGTTTTATAACCCAATACAGAGATCATATAGTAAATGTCTAAATTCTTAAAAGGAGCTTGGTCATAATTAAGTTCATCACCTATATGGACTTTTTTAAATGACAGATTTAAATACACAGAATCCAAACTGCTTTTATCAAAAATATCTAAGATTTTCTGGAGAACCTCAGAATCTGGTTGCTGCTAATACGTTTGTATAACTTCATTATTCACAAGCTCATAAATACACACACAAACACACACATGTGCACACCACTCACGAATGGAACAAATTATTTTCTCATCAGTTCCAAAATAAAAAAAGGAGTTTCCAGGAGGTTGTCTAGGTGAAGTTAGTCCTATTTTCCCACTCAGGGCTTTCAGCTCATGAATAATATTTATTTATCAAACATATCTCTAATTCTTAGGCCTTTGGTAAAGTTTCTCTCAAGACTAATGTTTAAATATTTATTACTATACAAAACATTTAGCAATTGTATAAGAATTCCTGAGTACCCAACCCTTTGATATATAGTCTTGCAGTATCCTGCCATCACTGAGAAGACTGACTACCTTGCCCCTGAACTTGGAGTACAACCATTTAACTTGCTTTGATAAACAGAAAATTACTACACTTTGCATAGAGATTTCAGATGGCTTCCATAATGGGGATTCTTCCTCTTTCCATTTACCATGAGAATATCACCTGGCTAGTACACTGTTCCCAGAAGGAGAGTGAGAAACTAATGAAGTCAGATTGCCCCCACCTGATCCAGACCAAATTGGCCAAACTCTAACTACTACCAAGATTCAGAATTTGGTCCATTTCAAATAAACAGAGCCATCCACCAAACCCAGCTTAAAAAAAATGAAATCCAACAACATGTGAGATATAAACATCTAATGTAGTTTGGAGGGTTTTTCTCTTGCAGAAAAACATAACTGATAAATCAACTCTGCTAAACCAAGAGTGTGGGAAATATGTACAACCTTGTTGTGTCAGGAATTCAGGAGCCAAAAGCAAAAATAGATGGGAAATTGCAAAGGTTTGTTCTTGTGAGGTCGATAATTAAGGCTAGAAGAAATCCATTGGAAAGTTCTGGGGTTGGAGGATAACATCATCTCAAATTTCCTCACGTTGCAACTAAATAAGAAAGTGCTCACTTCAACTCCCTTAGAGTTGTATAACAATGTATACAAATAGTTTATTATTGCCATCAGTATATAATGAGATGAATAATAATAATTTCTATGAGACATATCTCCTAATTAAACATTTTACATTAAAATTATAATGCACACTTAGAAATGAACCAAAACAAAAATGGGAAATACTGCAGTGTATCATAAACATTCAAGTAACCATGATGCAGGCAAGACAAGGAACACCAAACACAACCTAGGTCCACCTCCATGCCACTTTCCAAGTCCCTAAACATTTCTTCATACCTCCTGAGATAAGCAATATCCAAAATTTATGGTGATTATTTCCTTAATTTTCTTTACACTTTACCAACTAGGTATGCAACCCTAAACTCCATCGCTTGGTCTGGCCTGCTTTGCACTGTGTGTAGGTGCAATCCTACATGTTCTTCTTGTTTGTGGCTTCTTGGACTCAACATTGTGTTTCTGAAATTTAGTCACATAGTTGCAAGTACATGTGATTTTTTTTCACTTCTCTATATTGTTCCATTGTGTGGATTTACTGTAATGATTGATCTATCCTTAATATATATTTGGCCAGCTTCTTTTTTGAACAGTTACGAATAATTCTACTAGAGCATTCTTTCATATATCATTTGATGCAATTCCTCTGTATATATACCTTTGAGTAGAATTACAGGGTCATTGTGCAAAATATCCTCATAGACATAGAAAAGTTTAAAAGATAATTTAACTAAATGTACTCCTGTCAGCTTTACCTCCATTCTATTTTTTGCCATTTGCATATATCTTATCAATTATATAATTACCCCAACAAGACATTATTATTTTATGCAGTAAACATTCATTTAGAATTATGCACATATTTACCACTTCATTAATTTGTATTCCTTTTTGCATATTCAATTTAATAGTTTCAAAAAGTCCTTTTATTGGCAAGGCAGGGTGGCTCACACCCATAATCTCAACATTTTGTAAGGCTGAGTCAGGAACACCCAGGAGTTCAAGACCAGCCTGTGCAACACAGCGAAACTGTGTCTACAATAAATGAAAAAGCCAGGCATAAGGAAGCTACTCACAAGGCTGAGGTGGGAGGATGGTTTGATCCCGGGAGTTCCAGACTGCAGTAAGCCATGATCCTACCACTGAACTCCAGCCTGGACACCAGATTGAGACTCCAACTCCACATAGAATAATACTGATAATAATAATAATTTTTCTATTATCTGAAAAAAATATCATTTTAAGTTTCTGTTTATCAAGGTCTATTCTACTTTTGAAATGCACTGAAGGCATGATTCCATTGAATTCTAGCTTCATTTTTGTCTGTTGAAAATCAGGTTGTCATTTAGACAGTTATTCCCTTTAACATAATCTGTCTTTTCCTTTAGTTACCTTTCAGGTTTTTTATTGGTCTTTGATGTCCTGTCATTTTATATTAATTTGGTTTTAGTTATCTTGTCTGAAGTTTGATGGTTTCTAAAAATATATGAACTGATACACTTTACCACTTTTGGAAAAATCTCCACAATGCTTCTGGCCCATTTTCTCTCTTCTAATCTTCTGGAACTGCAGAAGTATGTTAGTTGTTCTGATTGTAGCTTCAATGTCTCTGACCCTCTAGCCTTATATTTTCTACCTCTTGGTCTCTTTATGCTTCATTCTGGGCAGTTATCTTCCAATTCACTAATTCTTTCTTATGTTTAACTGGTTCTCAACTCTGTCTATTGGATTCTCAATATTCATTACTCTTTTTTATCTTATTGTTTTAGGGGTAGAAATGAACTTTTATTCTCTTGCTATAAATCATTTTTAATGGAGAAACTAAACAAAGTATTTATAACACCAAGTTCTTAAAAAATAGTTTTTATAAATTTTTAGTACACCTGACATGAAAATTTTAGTGATTTTCTTCTTTTTGTAATACTTAGGTCACAGAAGAGATCAAAATTATGGTCTAGGCATTCTCCTGCCACTGGGAAGAAACTGGAAATTGATTTGATGTGAGTAGCTTCTTTTGAATAGTAACTTGTCTGTTGCTGGGTCATCACCACAAACTCTCCTCAAAGGGAAATTCAGTGAACAGCACTGGATCTCAAACTGTCATTACAATTAATAAAATAGAGTATCTCAACTACAGCTCCACCTTTCTATTCCATGATTTAAATTTTACTCTGTTTTCATTAGCAGAAATCAAGACTTCTTCATTTATAACAATCTTCAAAAGATCAAAGAGTAAAACAGTACATACAAGTTTATGAAAGATTGAAGAACTTTTAAGTCTCATGGAAACAAAACTGAATCTGGTGTTTCTAAAGAATTCCACCATTTAATCCCTATCCATAGTATAGTTTTGTTTATAGAACTATAACTTTCAAACTCCACCATCACTCACACAAGTGTGACAGAAGATCTGAGGTCTTAACTCTGTTTGACTATTTGGTCCTAAAATCCTCTCTTAGAAATAAAAGCTAGCTCATAAAATGTATTATTTGCTTTATCCTTCTTATTGGGTAGTTTTAGTTACACTAAAATCTAAATTGTTTCTATAGTGATCATAATGAAACAAGGATTAGTTTAAGCTCATCCATAAATAATTATTTGCTTAAGCAATATATTGTAAAATAAGCTATACCTAATTTCTAAATCTACATGTATTGAGCATGACTAAGCTTTGCTGTTTACTCCTGTAATTTTCCCACAATGACGGTCTTTTTAAAATTACTTATTTTCCAAATTACGTATTTTTTAAATTAACTTTTCTTTTTTTGTGTTTTTTTATTTTTTTTATTTTTTATTTCTTTATTATTATTATACTTTAAGTTTTAGGGTTACATGTGCACAATGTGCCGGTTAGTTACATATGTATACATGTGCCATGCTGGTGTGCTGCACCCATTAACTCGTCATTTAGCATTAGGTATATCTCCTAATGCTATGTATTTAAATATTTCAAAAATAAATCATTTAATGAGATGTATATATAGATGATGATGATAATAATTATGGCAGGTAAAAGGGAGAATGCTATTTGATAAATGTGATTTCCATCTTGTTTTTTAAGTACTGGAGTTCAGGGTAGTGAGAGAACCCTACTATTCTTCCTCATGGCCTCATGTTTCTTCTATGATTCTCAGCATCAGGCCTAGAGAAGTATCCTCATGTGGTAGTTCATCAAGAATAATGTAAAACCAACATATTTTCAAGAATTTCTTTGCTTTTTTTTTCTTTTACTACATTTTAAAAATTCATAGCAAAAGTGACATCCGACAATTAGGATTCTATTTTGGGGCTTTTTGGGCATTTTTCAATATGAATATAGAAAAATACTCTCTGCAATAATACAGTATATCAACTTTATTTCATCTTTTAATAGCATCATTAGCAAGCCAAATTCTTGCAAGGCTTTTTCACATTCTTAGCTATGGTGACTAAATCTGGATTTTACTATAGCAGTCAAAGTAGCATTTTATATGCACAAACATGCTCAAAGATCATGCTAAATATGTTTTATATCTTAAATTTGCCTTTCTATGATTTTTTTCTCTAATGCAGAACCAAAAAATTTATATTAACAAAATATTTTACCCAACACACAGGTGTACACATGATTAGTATTGTGAAATTAGAATGCTAACAATATGAATACAAATATTTCATTTAGAGACACATTTTGGGATAATAGGTCTATGTATTTAACCTCCATCGTAGTATAATTTATTGGAAATTCATGACTTTGTGACACTTTGAAATCTGTATTAAAAATAATTAAATTGGAAAGAGAAAAAAGGTGTCTAGCCGTCATAAATATTCAAGTTTTGATGTTTCAAATTCATATTAGCATTAAGAAGGTGGATTTACAGTTCTTGCTTATGTCTTCTTTTTCAAAAAATAATAATTTAAGAAAATTTTCAGGACAGGTCTAGTGGCTCACATCTGTAATCCCAGCATTTTGGAAGGCTGAGGCAGTTGGATTGCCTGAGCACAGGAGTTCAAGTCCAGCCTGGGAAACATGCCAAAACCCTGTCTCTACCAGAAATAGAAAAAATTAGCAGGGCGTGGTGGTGCACTCCTGTTGTCCTAGCTACTCTGGAAGCTGAGATGGGAGAATTACTTGAGCCTGGATAGCAGAGGTTGCACTGAGCCAAGATTCTGCTTGTGCACTCCAGCCTGGGCAACAGAGAGAGACCCTGTCTCAAAACAATAAGAAAAATTTTAAATTTTAACTTGGATTTCTTAGTACCATAATGCTCTATTCTCCTTTATTCAGCAAATACTCTAATAACAATGGTATCTATAAGAATATGCTGTATCACCCTAATTTTATATGTAGGAATGTATTTTATGTTTCTGCTTTTTTAACTTTTTTTTTTTTATTGGGGAGCATAACTTACATATGGAGCATAATAAAACCTAATAAACAGTAAGAGAAAAAATTATAACATTAACATCGATGTTACCACACCTTGGTCAGAAAATAGAATTTGCCAGTAATCCAGACACTCCCAATATATGTCTTCTTGCTGACATTTCCCGTTTATCTCCTCCCTCCTGATTATCCCAATTGTTATGATGATCACTCATATGTTTCACTGTAGAGTTTTATCACCAATGTAACAAATTACAATATATTAAAAATATTTTTCTTGAACTTTATGTAAATGAGATTATACTGAATGTATTTTTCCATCTTGATAATTCCTCTCACATTTGTGAGTATTATTATCTATGTAGCTCAAATTTGTTCATTTTCTTTGTTGTATTATTCTGTTGTAAACATGTCTGTCTAGTTCATTAATTTTGATCACTGTATAGTATTCCATTGTATAAGTATGCCACAATTTGTTTATCCATTTGGAGGTCTGAAAGACATTTGGAGGACATGCATAAAGATAAATTTATATTCTTATTTCATACCATACACAAAAAATAACTCATATTTGATTATAGAGCTATATGTAAAAGGTGAGATTAGTAACTAAGATACTAAAACATACTACCTGTACAACTGCAAGTAATATAAGTGGGTTAATCAACCATAATTCCATCTGTATATTTCTCTACTTAGATCATTATTTCTATAATAATAATAATCCCCTGCATAGTAATCTATCAATATCTATAATGCTATTTTAAATAAAACTAAATTAGATGGTGGGTCACCGTCACTCTGATTTAGTGGAAATTCAAGCAAAAATATTATTGATACTCCATCTTTCTCCTTAGATTTTTGGTATTATTACTTCTTTCTATTTTTCATTTTTTGAGACATGGTCTCACTCTGTAGCCCCAAATGGAGTGCAGTGGTTTGAGATTGGCTCACTGCTGTCTACAGCTCCCAGCCTCAAGCTATCCTCCCACATTAGCCTCCCAAGTAGCTAGGACTACAGATGGATGCCACCACACCTGGCTAATTGTTGTATTTTTGCTAGAGACTGGGCTTCGCCGTTCTTCCCAGGTTGGTCTCCACTAATTGCGCTGAAGAAATCTGCCTGCCTAAACCTCCCAAGCTGCTCAATTACGGGCTTAAGCCAGAGCACCCACCATCGTACTATTACTTCTAAATGTAAATTTGACATTTGAAGGAAAAATATTTACATAATGTGCTATATACCAAGATATGTGAATAAATAAACAATATAAATGGATAATCACCCTTATGCCTGTCTGTTGACTGATTTGACTACATTGTCAGTAAGGAGAATACATGAGATCACCAACACAACAGGCATCATTGTAGAGATTGAAGAATTGAGACCCTGTTGAAAATTGGTATTTTCAGTTTAGAGACAAAAAAGAACTAGCAAAGGAGACTGAGAAGTGCTGCCCAGTGAACAAAGATAAAATCAGGAGAGGACAGCATCCTGAAATGCAAATAAACTATGTTCAATGTGGCTAATAGAGCATGCAACATGAAGACTAACCTCAGCAACACAGACTCTGGTGATCTTGCAAATGTCAGAATCAATGAAACGATGACAGTAGCAGCTTCATTGGAATGAGTTCATAAGCCAATAGTTGAAGAGGCTTCATACTTTGATAAATACTTATAAACCAAGAGCAAAATGGAGCTGAAAAGCTGATTCCTGAGGTCAGCCTTAGAAGTGGAAAATCCAAGAACCTCAACCAGTTGTCAGGACTGAGCCAATTCAGAGAACAAGAATTCAATAACTGAAGGGAAGCTTAAGTCCCCTTGATAAAAGATGCAGAAAATTCACCACAGAATATTCAGAATGTATTCATATGATGCTTTCTCAAAGACCTGTAGCCATTTCCCAGATAATAGTACTCAGAGGGAAGGACACACATCCATACCATCTGAGACTTTTAGGTATAGGGCTCTTACAGTACGTAGTTAGTCAGGCATGAGTAGGGCAGAAGAAGGCTCCCACCACCCACAAGGAATGTCAAGTGGCCATCAGCTGATGGCCTGGCAGTTGACACCCTGCCTCTCTAAAAATAATAATTGATCATAGGTGCCAGGGAGAGGCATTTCACAATAAATAAAAACGCTTAAAATTGGTAGTCAGCAGCTCAGGAATAGGGTGAGTAGGCTGAGGCATGCGTGTTAAGAGAGAAAATGGTGGAATATGACCTTCTGTGGGCATTCCACCAAAAAAGGGAAGAATGCCTCAGGCAAGCATGTGTACAATTCCAGTAAACACACTGCGCATACTCACCTCTAAAGTGTTAGCAAGCTACCATGCATGTGAGCAGCCCACCCTAAGGGGCTGAATCATGGAAAAAGGAACACAAGACCCTAAGAGAAGAATCGTGGGAAAAGGAACACAAGACCCCAGAAGTATACCAACATATAAAACCACAAGTCAAAGGTGTGACACTGCACTTGATCTCCAAAGTGCCCACTGTGGTCTCTTCCAAGTGTCTTCCAAGAGACTTCCAATAAAGTCTCTTCCTTTCTTTCCTGCTCTCTTTTTAATAAACTTCCATTCCTGCTCAGAAACTTCCTTCAGTCTCTTCTTACGTATGCCCCTCAGTTGAATTCCTTCCTCTGGGGAGGCAAGACTTGACGTTGCTGCAGACTCGTATGAAATTGCCACCAGTAAACCAGATATTGGCCACCCCAGCAGAGCCTGAACTAACACTAATATCTAGGTACCCCAAAGACAACGTGTTCCATGAGATGGAATGGGAGATTTTCTTTTTAATGTTCTTTTGTTTTTTGTGTTATTTGCCTTAGATTTTTTTTAGAGACACAGCCTCAATCTGTCACCCAGGCTGTATCTAGTACAGTGGCATGATCATTACTCACTACAGCCTTGAACTCCTGGGTTTGTAACAGATTGCCCCATTTTTTTCTAAGAAAAAGAGAATGATTTACTGTTTTTTTAATTATTATTTTCTCTTCTCTTCTCTCCCCTTTCTCTTTGTTCCCTGTATCCTGCTTAGCCCTTCATAAATGCAAATATAACCTTTCACTCCCACTCACTAGACATTCCCTACAGGGCACATTTTCAAACTTAGTGCTCCAAGACAGATTCTCCTGAGAACTGACAGTCAATTTGCAGACCAAAGCACACCCGCCACAGAATTTTTACCTCCAGAAAGTGGACCTGGAAATTCCAGGCTCTTCTCCACTCTAGGAATTACCCAAGGGCTTTCATCCAACAGGAGGGCATATGGAAAACATACCCACTTGGCCACTTTTATAACGTATTTCTGCAAAGGAAGGCACCAATTCAACTATCTGGTAGTGTAGGGGTTCAGTCAGAATGGTAGGGAAAAGTATAAAACAAAACAAAAACCTTCTTGGAAGACCAAAAGTTTTTGCATAGCTTCAGATAGTTTGGCTGAAGGCAGCCAGTCTCTTTGCCGGAGCCTGGGCACTTGGGGCACAGATACAAAGGAATGTATAGTAGTTTATCTAAAGAGCTTGTTTACTCAGGTAGTCCTAAAGCTAACCTTTCATCACTCACAGGCAGGATTGCTCTCCTGGGGGAAGGTGACCAGGTTGATTACCCTCTAATGGTGTTGACTCAAAGCGTTTGTCATTTAATGTGTTCTAAATAAATGCCAAGAAGGCCAGCAATTTGGGGCGGCAGCTGACAGCACTCTTCCTTAGAGTCTGTAAGTGGCCAGGATGCTCAGCTGGACTGACAAGCAAAATATATGTGTCGGTGTATATTACTCCTCTGTCATTGAGTCAGGGTCTGCAGGACAGACCCCCGCATGGTAGAAAAGGCACCAAGCTTGCAGGAGGACCCTCTACCCTTGCTCAATAACCCCCCTTATCTTATAAAAGTGTCTGCTTTCTGCTCCAAAGGTGAAGTGGTACACTTAAAGGCAGGACTCTTTGTGCCCCTTCCCCAAGCTAGGTTTGGAATAAATTCATTACTTTTCTACCAGGCATCACTCTTGTTAACAGTACTCTGGATGTGGCCAGCAACTGACTCACATATTGCTTTTAGGTTCAAGGGAGTATCCTGCCTCAGCCTCCTGGATAACTGGGACTACAGGTGAGCACCACCATGCCAAACTAATTTTTTGTTGTTGTTTTTTCTTTTTTTAGTTTTTGTACAGACAGGCTCTCACCATGAAGCCCAGGGTGGTCTGGAACTCCTGGCCTCAATAGATATTCCCAACTGTGCCTACCAAAGTGTGGAGACTGCAAGCATGAGCCGTCATACCCAGCCTGCACTGGGAGTTTTTGAAGGTTAGATGCTACCTAGAGTTTTGACTCATGTCCATCCCAAAGTGAATCTGATCAGTTTGCTGTTATTACCTCTTCCTGAATGTGTAATTGAAATGGACACACATGGCAGCTGGCAGGACTCTCACTTTCTTCCTGACCTGTAGAGTAAGGGACACTATTAGAGCAGGACCAAGGCGAAGCCTGCGAAATTCTCCTCCACTGGCAACAAGGATTGAAAAATAATAATCACATTCTCCAAGGAATGGAATTGATCACTACCATGACAAAACACTTGAAAGTTACAGGGGATGGTAGTCTTTTTACATCCCTCTCCACTTAACCTAACTGGTCTCTACCAAAATCAGATGCATTATAAAATGAGGGCAGAGTTCCATAAATTTAAATCACTACTTACAAATGCTCTCTAGGATAAGGTATCTTCCCTGAGCAGAGCAGAGCTTCTGGCACTTTGCATGTGGCTCTTGATTTAGTGAATGTTTCTTATTTTACACCCATGGGTGGGTCAGGAGATTAAAACAATTGACCTTTGTGTGGTAAGAACAAAAACGCTGCTTCAGTGTTTTATGTCAGGCGATGTCACTTCTGCTCTCAGTTTAATTTACATTTTGCAAAACATCATGTTAATTTATTAATAATGTTACAGTAATTGGTGCAATAACCAGGAAATGGAAAGTTTCCTAAATATAGTAAAATACTTGAACATTAAATAGAAATAAAATACCAGCAGAAAGAGATACACCTGATAATATTTAGAGACCTGCAACACAGATATTGTTTTTAGGGGTCCCATACTCCTAGTCCACATGTCAAAAAATCTGTTTATTTATTCATTTATTTATTTATTTATTTATTTTTGAGACAGAGTCTCATTCTGTTGCTCAGGTTGGAGCGCACTAGTGCAATCTCGGCTTACTGCAAGCTTTGTCTCCTGGGTTCAATCAGTTCAAATCTTTCAGCCTCCTGAGTAGCAGTGTTTACAGGCATGTGCCACCAGGACTGGCATTTTTTTTTTTTTTTAAGTAGAGACAGGGTTTCACCATGTTATCCAGGCTGGTCTCAAACTCATGGTCTCAAGTGATCTGCCCACCTTGGCCTCCCAAAGTGCTGGGATTACAGGCTTGAACCACCACGCCCAGCAGAAACATCCTTTTTAAGGTAAATGGCATGTTGCCCTATATATACTTCTTATCACTAAAAAGGAAGCACAGTGTTTATTGAGCCTCTTGGGGTTTCAGAGTCCACAAATACCACAATAGAGGATATTGCTCCAACGTGTTAATAAAGTCCTTTTTAAATCCCTGTTCAGTTAACCTACCTAGCCTCTGCCAAAACTAGATGGGTTGCAGAATGAATGCAAAGACTAGTGGTTTCAAGTGGAATCCAGAACATAAGATATCTCTACAGCAGATATAGGCTGTGGCCAAACCTGCTCTGCCCATTGCGTCAGATGATCCAGCAGAATTCAAAGCTGCTAGAGGCATGCATCGTGGGCATTATAGGACTCTGTGCCTGTCTCCATCAAGCCCTTAGGAGAGGAGAAAGCAAACCCCTAGGGAATTACTGCAGAACTATTCCCTCTTCAGCGGAGGAGTATCCGCTGTCTGAAAAATAAAAATGCAAGTGCAGAACATTAATCCAAGCAAAAATCCCAAAAGCACAAGACCGCGTGCAACTACACTAGTCATGTGCTTATAAAACCAGCCACAATTGGAGGGCATGAGGACATCTGAGTGGCACAAGGTGGGGACTGTATTGGGCAAAAACATGTACTTCCTCAGATTCCCTTGACTGTGTCTCCTGTTCCCCTGGTCAGCATCTTGCCTGATCCAGATCATCTTTCCATCTGGGACTTGAATATACCTGTGGGCATGAAGTCTTGTAACAAAAAAGGTTAACGGCTCACTTCATGTAAAGTCTAATATAAAAAATAATAAAAAGTAATAAAAGAGTCTGATATAAAAATAGAGAATGTATTTGGAAGTTAGCTTGCGGGAAGGAGCACAAAGCATCCTGCCTTCTAATGTGACACTTCACCTTTGGAGCAGAAAGTGGATTTTTTTTTAAAGTTGGGAAGGAAATGAGCAGGACAGCCATTGTAGAAGTGGCCACCTGGGCATCCTCTCCACATCCCCTCCTAATGGATGTGAGGTCTAAGCTAAACCCTGGAGGTGACAGTTCGATGAGGGCATACTTTTGTCTGCAAATCAACTGTCAAGTCTCAAGGAGAGATCCTTCTTGGAGCACACAGTTAGATGAACTTGCCCGAAGGGACTGTCTGGTGAGGGGAAAGTAAACAGTTCTATGTGCATGTCTAAAAAGTTAAGTAGAAAGCAGGAAACATAGGGAAAGGGGAGAGGAAAAGAGAAAAAATAAATTAAAAAAAAACTATCTCTTAGAAAAATGGGGGTATTGGTTAGTGTGACTTTCCCAAACAGCCACCAAGGGGTTGGATAATGTAAGGAAGAAAAGCAAAGATGGTAGTTCTGCCTCAAACAATCTTTGGCCAAAGGAAAATAGAAGACAGAAGACAGCTAGGATACATTCTCCCTTTTCTCTCCTCCATGGACTAATATTTGTTGTGGCTTCCCCTTGTAACCCTTCTGGAAAAGTACGGGGAGCCAAGTGCATGTATCTGATGACCACCATGCTGTCTGTCTCACCTCATTGTGAAGCGACAACTGGCAAAGTCATATCAACATCATGACACATGATTTTACATCTTCCTTTGCCTCAGTTTCCACATGTATCCCTCATTGCTGCCCTGGACTTGCCTTCCCAAATAAATGTCATCACTGTAAAATCAGACATTGGCTCTAGTTCTAGACACCCAAAGCTAAGATATACATTCATCTGAATCACTTTTCCATGTGTTTATAACGTGGCAATTAAAACATTCATTTAGAAAGGATACTAAACAAAATAATATACAAATAATTTGTAAGTAAGGTGAGTGGTTACTAACTCAATTTTTAAAAATGAAATACCTTTTTTGTGTATCTAATAACCAGCTAAAAAATATCACAATACAAATATATCATTCACAGTAGAAAGTGATTAGGTACGTTTACAACCAGCTTAACCAGTTGCAAAGTTTGCTAGCTTTTATTTTTACTTCTTTTGAGTTCACTTCTTTTGTATCAGCAAAGCATTGAAGGCAGCATAAGTCATAATGAAGGAGAAAGAGACATTCCCTAAAAACAAAAGTGTGTTTAGCAGCTACTGGGAAGTTCCCTAACATTCTTGTCATGGGGTCAGCTAGCCCCGAGCAGCTGGCACACACTGCTGACCCTGACCCTGTGCAAATATACCAAAATCTTTAATATGCTTTTCAAAAAGCATTAGAATAAGTGCCATCTAATTTTGACGTTCCACCTTGTCTCTACTTCACACACCTGATATAGCTACAGCAAAGCTATATTACAGTGATATTTCCCCTAGAATTTTGGAACAGTCAAACTTTTGCTCTGAGAAATGCTTCTTCTTTGATAAGCCTATAACCTCAACCTGAAACTAGAAAATTCAAGCAACTGCAGATTTTGTGATGAGTTTCATTGTCATTGGTTTACCACAACAAATTATCCATTTATCCAATCACTTATGTGTTCATTAATATATTCTTTTGACCAACTATTCTTTGTGCTGGCTTTTAGATCCTGTGAGTCAAGAGAAAGCAAGACAGCTATTACCTCTCTTTTTATGCTGATTACATAGTACTAGGGAAGATGTATGATAAACAAAATGTATGTGTGTATATATATATTATATATATATAATATGAGGAGTTGATTTATTTTAAGGTTGAGATAACAATGTTAAAATTTCATAACACCAAGAATGAATATAGTCACACAGAATTTAGCTGTTCCACAAGGCTGTAGATTACCTTCTTATAATAGAACTTGGTATCAATGGATACATCAGCACACTTTGTATCATTTCACCATTTACATCATTATAATAAAGTCATTAATATATTTCCTATCATCAATATATAGATTTCACAGGCAATTTTTAACATTTGAAGAAAGTTTCATTCGATTATCATCTATAGTTTCTACACCCTGTTTATGTTGGGCTTTTTTTTTTAAAGAAAGGGAATATTTGAGTTTTTTTGAGGAATATCAGGAATGGGAGACAAAGAAGAATATTGGAAATTCAGAGGCTCAGAGGTTGCTAAGCAAAATAAATGGAAATACTTGACATCAGATGTCAACTTCAAAAAAGATTTTCTTTAACTCAAAAGGTGGAAGAAATGATTTTTCTAACTACACTTAAAAAATTATAATAGCACTGAAATGATCATGGTTTTGTTTCTTCATTCCTATTATAGAAATGATTTTTTTCTAAGCTATTCACATACTGGTATTAAATCTAGTATTCTTTAGTACAGTTTTGTTATACATATACAAAATTTGCCTTCCCAAAGGCAAATACATATACTCTACATGTTTGTCACTGATTTTATTTAATATGTACACTAATTTTATTGTGTACATCATTATCTAACAAAAATTCTATTTGCTTTATACTAAAAGTAAAGTAAGAATTCATAATGAAATAAAACCTACTACAAAGATACAGTCTCATCATTGATTTAGAATTGAATGTCTTTACCATCCAGAAAATGAGAGGTTCAAACAATGATAGTTAAGTACATGTATGTGGTACAAATTACAATGGAAAACAGCAATGATTTTCTGATAAATGCTGTAATTTCTTAATTACAAAGAGAGATAAATTCTTCAAATGAAATATCATACAATTAGCTATCATAAAATACACATACTTATATATGTGAAATATACTAGGCTTCATAATTTATGGTCAATGTTATTATTCACACACATGCACACATATACACCCATACGTATTTTATATATATATGAATTTTATATATATTATATATATATAAAAGACTATCCTAGGAATCTGTTTTGAAATTACTCACATACATACACTACAACAAACTGACAGAAATATAAAACGTTCTAGACACCATCAGTTTCTTTTCTGCTAAAAGACACACCATGCTCCCCTTGTGAATCTATGGAGTTGAGGGTTTCTGTTATTTCACCCAGCACGTCACCTGACACAAAACTGAAAGAGAGGTCTGTTTTAGCTTCCTACTTCTCATAATCAGGATGAATGAGTGGAATGAAGGATACATGATTGCAAGAGTTTGGTAAAGCAGGAATACAAGATTGCTCTGCTGTGTCCTAGGATTCCAAGTTGATGTGATTATACACAGAAAGTAAATGGCAAATAACATACGGAAGGAGATAACAGTTTGCAAAGGTTTTATATGGACCTTGGTGCTGAGATCTTGAGATCCTTTGCCATGGAGCTGCATCATCTTGAGATGTTTACACGGAGAACAGACTAACAGCAGAAAAGATATTAGAGTCAGAATGAACAGTGTGAAGTTTGCTAGCATGGTTGGTTATAGTCATGTTTGAAAGGTGTATTGCATTCCTCAATTCGATCTTCCAAGTCACATTTCCTTCAAATTCTTTTGTCCACACACTGTCATCCATGGTTACCACAGCAAGATTACAAATCAAAAATACCAAGGACCCCAACAGTATCACAAGAAGAACACTCTTAATTCTCTTCTTTAGGTGGAGAAAAATAAAATTGGAGAAATTGGCAATCTTGAACAAATAAAATATGCTGAGGCTCGTAGCAAGCCAAATGCTGAAATGATTGATTATTGCCGAGACATTAGAAGGAACAATTCTTACTTCTAAACTATATAAAGCTGAATTAAACACAGTTGCATACCAATGTAATAATATGATCAAAGTAAACCAATTCTGGAGAATGCCAGAGCAGTGACAATTTGGTCAGTTGAGGAGATCTTTTGTGTCTTAACCCAGTCATTGACATTAATTAGAGCTATGAAGCCATTGGCAACATTTCCAAGAACAAATGCAAACACTACCAGAATTGATAAAATGATGAGCAGAACACATATGTTTGAACAACAAAAAAAAAAAAATGCAGGCTTAATAACACTGGTTGTGATTCCCTTAATATCCAGACATTAACTTCGATAAACACTTGATTTCTAAATGTGCAGTAACATTTTCTGCCTTTAAGTTCTCTAATGTCAACAGGAAAGCACCAGCATATGCCAATGGATGAATTCAAAGCTGTCTTTAGGGAAAATATTATTAATCTCAAAACAGCTGAAACTCATTCCTCTTTATAGACTATCTGTCCTTGCTATATGCTGAAATGTTTTATACTGATGTTGAAGTCAAAAGTGAATTCTCGTGTGTTAGTATGCAAATAAAGCCATATTCTTTTTCATTGTTTTGCAATTTTTTTCTTGTTTAACCTCTCCATAATTTGTATCCAGCATCTTCAGTTGTTACATAGGGAAATTTTAAAACCCAATACATATATCATACAGTAAATGTCTAAATTGTTAAAGGAGCTTGGTCATAAATAGGATCATATCAATATGGATTTATTTTTATGCCAGATTTAAATACCAGATTCTAAACCTTTTGTCAAAATCATCCAAGGTTATCTTGGAAAGTCCTGTGAGGCCAATACACCTGAAAATCTGGTTTCTGATAACCAATACATTTATATGACATTATTGTTAATAAGCTCCTAAACACATAGACACACATGCACTCACACCATTAGGGGATGGAAGGAATTATTTTCTTATTACTCACCAAATGGAAAACGAGTTTCCAGGAGGTCATCCAGGTAGAATTAGTACTATTTTCCTATTCAGCGTTGTCAGACAATGAATAATGTTTATCAAACATGTTTCTTATGCTTAGGTCTTTGGTAAATTTACATTCAAGTCTGTTTTTTGTTTAAATTTTAATTAAAATATTCAGCAATTTTGTAAATGTTTCTAAGTACCCTACATTTTGTCATATAATCCTGCAGTATCCTCCCACCATAGGCAGGGTGACTACCTTGAACTTGGACTCTAAATTCACTCCTCTAATTTGCTTCAGTCAACAGGAAGTTAGTAGACTTTACACAGATATTTAAGACAGCTTCCATGTTGGAGTTTCCTGCTCTTTTCCTTTTACCATGAGGACATCATCTGGCTAGTACACTGTTCCCAGAAGAAGAATGAGAAACTAATGGAGTCAGAATGCCACTACCTGATCCAGCCTAAATCAGCCAAACTAGCTGCAAGATGCAGTATGTGGCCCATCTCCAATCACCAGAGCCATCTGCCAAACCAAGCTTAGAAAAATGAAATCCAAAGACTTATGAGACACAAATATCTAAAGCAGTTTTGGAGGATTTTCTCTTGCAGAAAAACATAACTGATATAGGTATTCTGCTAAACTAAGAGTGTGGGTAACATGACCACCCTTGTTGTGTTAGGAATTCTGGATCCAAGGGAAAAATAGATGGAGAATGTCAAAGTTTTGTCATATGAAGTAGATAATTAAACCTAGAAGAAAAACCTATTGAAAAACGTGGGGTTGGCAGGTAACATCATGTCAAATTTCCAAAAGTTACAACTAAAATCAGAACATTTCTACTTAAAACCTCTTAGAGTTATACATGAATGTATACAAATAGTGGATTTTTCCCTTCAGTATATAATGAGCAGAGTAATAATAATTTCATGGAACATTTCTCCTCATTAACAATTTTTGTATTGTAACTAGAGTGCACACTTAGAAATGAGCCAAAACAAAACTGGGAAGCATAGCAATGTGTCATAAATACTCATGTAATCATCATGTAGGGCAAGACATGGAAAATTGCTAAGAGCCTAGGTTTACCTCAATGCCACTTTCCAATCTGCTACACGTTTCTTCACATCTCCTGTGATAAGCAACATCCATAATTTATGTTGATCTTTTTAAAATTTTCTTTATACTTTACCAACTAGGTATGCGACCCTAAACTCAATAGCTTGGTTTGGCCTTCTTTGAACTGTGTATAGGTGCAATTCTATATGTTCTTATTCATGGCTTCCTGAAATCAACATTCTGTATCAGAAATTTAATCCCATAGTTGCATGTACATGTGATTTATTTCATTTCATTTCTCCATATTTTTCCATTTTATGATTTTACTGTAATTATTTATCCATCTTTATTTGATATATATTTGGGCAGCTTATTTTTTAGCTATTATGAATAATGCTTCAATGACCTACATCATTTACTACAATTCTTTTGCATATATATACCTGGGTGTAGAATTACAGGGTCCTTGATTATGATGTTCAAATTATCTGCACAGACATAGAAAAGCCCAAAACATAGTCTAACTAAATTTATTCCTGTCACCTTTATCTCCAGTCTCTTTATTGCCATTTGCATATATCTTATCAATTATAAATTTAATCTAACAAGACAATAATTTTTATACAGTCAACATTTATTTAGAATTACACTTATTTTTCATTGTCAATAATTTTTATTGCTCCTTGCATGTTCAACTTTGCATTTGCAGTCATTTTTATTTTCTCTGAAAAATATTTTCAATTTCTGTTTATGAAGTTCTACTACTCTTTGGAAATGCACTGAAGACATGTTTCCATTGAGTTCCTTCTTCCATGTTTTCTGTTAAAATCAGGTTGTATTTAGAATGCAGTTCTTTTCAACACACGACATACTCTATCTTCCACCTCTCGCTACTTTTCAGATTTTCTATTGGTCTTTGGTGTCCTGTATTATTTTATGCTAATTTGGTTTAATTTATCATGCTTGAAGTTTGAGATTACTAAAAATATATGGAGGAATACATTTTATCACTTTTGGAAAAATCCTTGCAACATTTCTCTTGCTTGATTTTCTCTCCTCTAATCTTACAGAACTCCAGAAGTATGTTAGGTGTTCTGACTGTAGCATCAATGTGATACCCTCTAGCTTGGTATATTTCCATCTGTTTCTCTCTATGCTTCATTCTGTTTAGCTATCTTCCAATTCACTAATTCTCTCTTCTACTGCATCTAACAGGCTAATTCTGTCTATTGGATTCTCAATATTGATAATTCATTTTTTTGGTCTTATTGTTTTAGTGTTCAGAATAATCTTTTATTCTCCTTCCATAAATCATTTTCTATAGGGAAACTGAACAAACTACTCTTAACACCATGTTATTTTTAAAAGTGTTTTAGATTTTGGGGTTTTTATGTTTTTTGTTTTAGTATGCTAGAAATGAAAATGGTAACAGTTTTCTTTTCCCAACACTTGGTCAGAGAATAGAATAAAAAGTTTGTCTTGGAACTTACCTTCAATTTGAAAGAAACTGGAAATTAAGTTGATGTGAGTAGATGTTTTTGGATATTAGCTTGTCTGTTGCTGGCTCCTCACCACAAACTCTGCCCACAGGGGAACTCAATGAGCAGCACTGGATCTCAAAATATCATGGCAATAGATAAAATATAGTTCATCTACCACAGCTACATTGCTGTATTCAATGAATTAATTTTCACTTTGCTTATGTTGTAGAAATGGGGCTCTGTGCCTCTGAACCCCATCATTACCTAAATGAAATAGAGAAGATGTGGGGGAAGGCTTACTTCTCTTTGATTTATTTAGCCCTAAAATCCTCTCTTTGTAAATCAGAGCTTGATCATGAAATGGTTTATTTTTCTTATTAAGGAATTTTATTTATACTAAAATCAAAATCTTTTTTATAGTGTTTCTTGGTTTAGTTTAATGTCATCTACAATTGTTTTCTTAAGCAATGTATGTTAAACTACACTACACTTAACTTTCTAAATCTAAATGTATTTATTGTTACTTGAACTTTGCTGTTTACTAATGTAACTTTCCCACAATGATATCTCTTAGAAATTACATAGATGTTACGAAATTATGTATGTAAATATTTCAAAAATAAATCATTTCATAAAACAGATGTAAATAGAGATGATGATAATAATGATGATGATGTCAACTAAAAGGGAGAATGTTACCAAATAACTGTGATTTGGGTCTTCTTTTCAAAGTACTGGAGTTAAGGGTGATGGGAGAACACTCTTATTCTTCCTCATGGATTTACAATTTTTTTTTTTTTCTCAGATGAAGTTTCTCCCTTGTCACCCAGGCTGGAGTGCAATGGCACAATCTCGGCTTGCAGAAACCTCTGCCTCCCTGATTCAATCAATTCTCCTGCCTCAGCCTCCCAAGTACCTATGATTACAGGTGCCCACCACCCCACCCGTCAATTTTTGTATTTTTAGTAGAGACAGGGTTTCACTATGTTGGCCAGGCTGGTCTGGAACTCCTGACCTCAGGGAATCCACTGCCTTGACCTCCTAGAGTGCTGGGATTACAGGCATGAGCCACTGTGCTTGGCACCATTCTTATATTATTCTCAGAATCAGGCCTAGACAAATAACCTCATATAGTATTTCATCAGGAATAACGCAAAGCCAACACATTTCCAATGATTTACTTGCTATTTTTTTTCTTTCACCACATTCTAAAAATTATGGCAAAAGTGACCTAAAGCAAATAATACTCTTTTTTTGGCTGTTTAGTTTTGGTCCAGTTTCATATGAACTTACACAAATACTCTGTGCAATTATAGACTGAATAAGCTTCATTTCATCTTTTAATAGCATCATTACCAAGTTAAATTCTCTTGACTGCTTATTTACATTCTCAGCTACTGTCACAAAATCTGGGTGTTTTTATTATAGCAGTCAAAGTAACTACACTAAATATGTTTTATGCCTTAATAAAATTATCTTTCTACTAATTTTTCTCTAATATTAAAAAAATTTGCAGTATCAAAATATTTTTCCTTACACGTGTACACATGCATGGTATTATAATCTTTGAATGGTAAAAATATGTGTATAATTATTTCATTTAAAGATAAATTTAGAAAAATTGTCCTATACATTTAATATCTATACTACTATAATTTATTGGAAATTCACTAATTTCTGCCACTTTGAAATGTTATCATAAATAATTAAATTGGAAATAAGAAAAAAATGTGTCCAGTAAAATATAAGTGCTCAAAATCTGATGTTTCAAAGTAAGAATAACATTAGGAATGTGGAGGTAGTCTTCCTGCTTATCTCTTCCTTTTTCTAATTAATTTAAAAAAAAGTTTAAAATTTTATCTTGGATTTATTACTATCATAATGCTCTATTCTTTATTCAGCAAAAACTCTAATTACAATGATGTCTATAAGAATATGTTTGTTCAGCCTATTTTATATTCATTCATTTAGTGTATGTTTCTACTTTTTAAATATTTTCATTATTGTGAAATATTTAATATTGTGAAACATAACATATATATATAAAGTATATAAAGTAATGAGGTCTAATGTACAGTAAAGAAAAAAATTATAGCATTAAGAGTCATGATTCCACATCATGGTCATAAAGTAGATTTCACCAGCAATCCAGACACTCTCCATATATGCCATCTTACTGATAACATTTCCCTTTTGTTTCCTCCATCCCTACCATCCCAATTGTTAGGATAATCACTCATATGTCTCACCTTAGAATTTCACCACCAGTGTAATAAATTTCAATTTATTAAAAATACATTTTTGTAAACTTTATATAAATGGAATTATACTGAATCATTTTTTCAAACTTAATTCCTCTCATATCTATGTAGTTCAAATTTCTTCATTTTTCTTTTTATTTATATTCTTTGTAAACATGTCACTCTAGCTGGTTCCGTTAGGACAACTAAATTCCTCTTTAAAGACTCAACTTCCCAGCCATAAGTTGTAAATGTTGTAAATGAATCCTACCTCCCACCCCTCTTTCTTTTTGCAAAATGTGCGTTTACCCTATTTGGAAAAGTTTAAGTCTAAGCCATTCAGGATCAGCTTAGATTGTGCAATCCAACCCCAGCCAATAAGGGAAGGACACAGAAACAGGAACTGTGTTAGGATTAAAAACTCCTTCCCTCCTTTGTTAGGTATGCTCTTCTCTTGGGATTGTAACAGGTGCAAGCAGCACCCTTCTGCTGACGTAAAGGTGCCTTGCTGAGAAATTGTCCAAGTGGGGATTTCTTTTGGCTACTCCGAGCACATGTCTCCAACAGTTCATTTTGATTGCTGTATAGTATTCTATTGTACAAGTATGCCATAATTTACTTATCCATTTTATCACTGATGGATATTTGAGAGACTTCTCAACTTTAGCTATTAAAACTCAGTGATATGCATGTGTGTGCACATATATTCTGATAACAGTGCAAATACTGGGTGTTCAAATGTGATCCATCAACTTAATCAGATAATGCCATAGTCAGACAAAGTAATTGCTCTGATTTACAATTCTAGGAGCAATGTATGAAAATTCCCATTGCTTCATATGCTTTCCAAAATAAGTAACATCAGACTAATTTTTACACTTTCGTATCTATATGAAACATTATAAACCTAACATTTTTGAAGCCTTTTTCTATTATAGTTCAGAATGTATCCTTAATTCAAAAATTATTACTTTTAAATTCTATGACCATGATTTCATGCACATATATTAATAATGAATTATATACTTCATATATTTATTTATTCATATTATTAGCTTTTCTAATATTTTTTCTTAAAGATTTAAATACTCTTTTGTTATGAACGGGTATAACTATGCTAGACATATTTCCTTTAACCAAACATTATGTCAAATGACTTTGAGAAATATGATTAGTTAACAGCATACTGTAAGGCAAATTTCAGCATTGTTTAACAACTCCTTAAAAGGATTCAAAGAAAATAATAGGTTGAAATATCAAAATAGTCTATAAGTGTAATGTAGGTGCCCATGGGAAAATACAAAATACCATTAACGTTATGGAAAAAAAATGATTAGTAGTAAACATACCATGTCCGACTTTTTTTAGGGCAGGACTAATATCAATGGGCAAGATTCCCTTTAAGGTCCTGACCTTAATTTCTATGTGCACCTGATTTCTGGTTGTGCAGTAATGTTCCTGTTCCTTTTAAGTTCTCTGACTAATGCCAAGCAGGAAACCACCGGAGCATGCTATTGAATGAGTTCAAGGCTATCTTAATGGAAAACATGATAATTTCCAAAACAGCTCAAATTAACTCCTATTCAAATACTATGTCCTTGTTATAAGATAAAAATTTTCATACTGATGTTGATGTGAAAGCTGAATTCTCATTTGCTAGCATGCAAATCAAGTCATATTCTTATTCATCATTTTGTAATTTTTTTCCTTGTTTAACCTCTATATAATTTGTATTCAGCAATGTCAGTTGTAAGGGAAATTTTCCAACCTAATACATAGATCATACATCAGATGCCTACACTGTTATATGTAGCTTGGTCAAAACTAGAATCATGACCACTGTTGATTCATTTTTTCAACGCCGGATTTATGGAGAGTGAATCCCAACTTTTCCTACCAAAAGCGTCCAAGGTTTTCTTCGGAAGCCCAAGAAGGCCAATATTCCTTAAAATCTGGTTGCTGCCAACTAATAATTTTGTATAACTTATTATTAACAAGCTCATTAACATAAGCACTTTCACATGCACATATATACACCCCTGACGGTTGGGAAAAATTGTTGTCCTATAATTTCTAAAATGAAAAAGTAATTAATTTTCTTACTCAGGCTTTTCAGCCCATTTTCAATGTTTATCAAACTTAATCTCTCATGCTTAGGCCTTTGACTAAGTTATTCTCATGAGTCTAACACTTAAATCTTAGTTATTTAATTAAAATACTCAGAAATTTTATAACTATTCCTTGGACACTTAAAAAACATGTTTTCCATTGAAGAATCTACACTTCTCTATGTATGAATATCCAGCTTTATTTTTCCCTATTTATTTTTGATTACTAAATGGTTTAAGATGAATAGATATTAAAATCAGTCTCCAATCTTGGATTTTATATCTTTTCAGTTTTTACACTATAATGGTTTCTAAGAGGGGATCTTCGAGTCAGACTACAAAGACAGGAAACCAGATTCCCTGTTTCATACAGATATGTGAGACTCCATTTTACAACTACTGCCTGCCTCAGTATAATTACCTATAAAAAGCAGATAATAGGCTGGGCACGGTGGCTCAGGCCTGTAATTCCAGCACTTTGGGAGGCCGAGGCAGGTGGATCACCTGAGGTCAGGAGTTAGAAAACAGCATGGCCAACATGGTGAAACCCTGTCTCCACTAAAAATACAAAAATTTGCCAGTTGTGGTTGTGCATGCCTATGATCCTAGGTACTTGGTTGGCTGCGGCAGGAGAATCATTTGAACCCAGGAGACGGAGGTTGTAATTGGTCGAGATCACACCACTGCACTCCAACGGGGAGACAGAGCAACACCCTGTTTCAAAAAAAAAAAAAATGAAAGGAGATGAAAAAAAACTGGCTTTGTTTAATTTTGTTAGGAGTTAATATAATATACCCTTTGTATAACTACTTTCCATTTTACCTGTTTGCTATAGGCAGGAACCAAAGATTGTTAATTATTGATTTGATCCCTTTTTACTTGATATTTAAGATACCAGTGAGAACTTGCACTTCTTTTTTTTTTCTTCCTCCGAGACAGTCTCCGTTTGTTACCCAAGCTGGAGTACAGTGGCAGGATCATAGCCCACTGCAGCCTGGAACTCCTGGGCTCAAGCAATCCTCCTGCCTCAGCTTCCCAAGTATTTGGAACTATAGGCATGCACCACCCCGCCAGCTAATTTTTTAAATTTTTTGTAGAGACAGAGTTTCCATATGTTGCGAAGGGAACTCCTGCTCTCAAAAGATCCTCCCACCTTGGCCTCCCAAAGTACTAGGACTACAGGCATGCGCCATCACATCCAGCCTGCAGTGGGAGTTCTTGAAGGTCAGATGCTGCCCAGAGCTTCGGCTCATGTCTATCCCAAGGTGGATCTAACCAGTTTGTAGTTATTACCTCTTCCTGAATGTGTAATTGAAATGGATACGTATGGCAGCTGGCAGAACTATCACATTCTTCCTGAACTGTAGAGTAAGGAACATTATTATAGCAGGACCAAGGGGAAGCCTCTGAAATTCTCCTCCATTGGCAACACAATGTATAAAATATAATAACTGCATTCCCCAAGGAATGGAACTGGTCACTGTCATGACAAAACACTTGAAAGTTACAGGGGATGGTAGTCCTTTCTATAACCCGATTCACTTAACCTATCTGGCCTCTACCAAAGACAGACAGGTTATAGTGAATGCAGACTACCATAAACTTCAATCAACACTCACAAATGCTTTCCAGGATGTGCTATCTTCACTGAGCAGAGCAGAGCTTTTGATACTTTTTACGGGGCTCATGATTTGGTGAATGTTTGTTAATCTACACCCATTATGCAGGAAAATCAAAACAATTTGGCTTGTATTGTAAGAATAATAGCACTGCTTCACTGTTTTATGTCAGGGCTATGTCACTTCTGTTCTCAGTTTAATTTACATTTTTTAAAACATCGTGCTAATTTAATATATTAGTAATATTACAAACCGGGCCCTGTGGCACATGACTGTAATCCCAGCACTTTTGGAGGCCGACACAGACAGATCACTTCAGCCCAGGAGTTTGAGACCAGCCTGGGTAACATGGTGAAATCCTAGCCCTACAGGAAATACCAAAATTAGCCAGGCAAGGTGTTGTACCCCTGCAGTCCCAGCTGCTAGAAATGCGGAAGTGGGAGAATCACTTGAGCCCAGAAGGTTGAGGCTGTAATGAGGTGTGATCCTGCCACTGAACTCCAGCCTCAGGGATAGAATGAGACCCTGTTCAAAATAATAACAATAATAATAAAGTATTAGTTGGTACAATAATCAGGAAGTTGCAAGTTTATTAAATATAGTAAAATACCCTAATGTTGGATGGAAGTAAAATACCAGAAGAAAAGAAATAAACCTGAGAAGATTCAGGGACCTACAGCATAGGTGATGTTTTAAGGTGTGCAGTGTCCCTAGGGCACATGTCAAAACAATCTTTTTTAAAGTAAATGGCATGTTGCTCTCTCTATGTACTTCCTATCACTACAAAAGAGATACAATGTTTTGGGGACCTATTGAGATTTTGGAGCCAACATATTCCACGTTTGAAAATATTGCTCTGACTCATTAATAAAGTTTCCAAAGGCTACTGGTCTCAAGTGGAACCCAGAACAAAAGAGGGCTCTACAGCAGATACAGGCTCTGGTCCAAGCTGCTATGGCCACTGTGCCAGATGATCCAGCAGAATTCAAAGCGACTAGAGCATTGTTTCACATTTCTTCCTGTCTCAATTTCCACATGTCCCTGCCATTTTTGTCTTGAACTTTACTTCTAAATAAATGTCATCACTTTCATTAACAGGTATTAATTAAAAACATTTTGGTCAAGTAGCTGGTTACTAACTCAATTTTTTGAAATGAAATGCCATTTTGTTTACCTAATAATCAACTAGAAAATATCATAACACAAATATATAATTCACAATAAAAAAATACTTATGCAAATAGACCAAAGTCTTTTATATGCTTTTTAAAGTATTGTCATAGGTGCCACCTAATTTTTTCTTTTCTTTTTTTTTTTTTGTCTGTCGCCCAGGCTGGAATGCAGTGGCGCGGTCTCGGCTCACTGCAAGCTCTGCCACCCACGTTCACGCCATTCTCCGGCCACAGCCTTCCGAGTAGCTGGGAATACAGGTGCCCACCACCACTCCCAGCTAATTTTTTTGTATTTTTAGTGGAGACGGGGTTTCACCATAGTAGCCGGGATGGTCTCGATATCCTGACCTCGTGATCCGCCCGCCTCAGCCTTCCAAGGTGCCATCTAATTTTGATGTTTTACCTTGTCTCCAATTCAGACACCTGACACAGCTGCATCAAGACTATATATCACTATATATATATATAGTGTGACTATATATCACTATATATATCACTAGTGTGATATTTCCCCTAAAATTGTGGAATAGCCAAACTTTTCCTCTGAGGAAGGATTCTGCTTGGATAAGCCTGAAACCTCAACCTGAGACCAGAACAGGGGAATTCATGCAACTGCAGATTTTGTGATGAGTTTCCTTTTCATTGATTTACCACATCAACTTATCCATTTTAGCCACCCATTTATTTGTTCATTAAAGTATCATTTTTGGCCATCTATTCTTGGTGCTGGGTTCTAGGTCCTGGGAATCAACAGAAAGCAAGACAGACATGATCTCTTTCTTTACAGTTCTTACATTGTACTGAGGAAGATATATGATTAAAAAATTACATAAATCAGGTGTGGGGATGATTTATCTTAAGGTTTAAATAACATTAAATAACATTGTTAAAACTTCATAACACCAAGAATTAATGTAGTCATATAGAATTTAGCTGTGAACAAGACTGTACATTTCTTTCTTATAATAGAACTTCCTGTTAATGAATATGTCAAAACACTTTCATCACTGACAACAAAATTACAATGGTAAGGCACATCCCATAATTAATACATAGATTTCATAGATACTATTTTAACATTTACAAAAAGTTTCACTGAATTATTTTCCATAATTTCTATACTATTTTTACATTGATAGTTTTTTTTTTTAGAAAAGAGAAGATTTGAGTTCTCTTATCTGAAGTTTAGAAGGAATTTTGTAAATGGAAGATGAGGATATAATTAGCAATTCAGGGGCTTAGAAGTGTCTTAGAAAAAAATACTAAAATAATTTACATCAGATCTCAACTTCAAAAACAGCTTTTCTTTAATTCAAAAGCTGGAAGAAATGACGTTTCTAACTGCGTATGGAAACCGATAATAGCAATCAAGACCATGATCATATTTCCTCCCTTTATTATCAAAGAGATTTTTTTCTAAGCTATTCACATAATTGCTTTAAATCTAGTATTCTTCAGTACTGTTTATGGTAGACATATATGAAATTTATTCTACCTATACTTGTCACTCGAATTCTATAGTGTGCATTGTTTACAATAATTCTGTTTGCTTTTTACTAACCATAAAATAGGAATTCATAATGGAATAAAACCCCAAAGATACATCCACATTATTGGTTTAGAATTGAATGACCTTACCATCCAATAAGATAGAGGTTCAAACAATGATTTCTAAGCACACTGTGGTATATTTGTGTGGTTCAAATAACAATAGAAAACAGCAATATCTTTCCTGAGATAAGCTGTTAGTTCTTAATAATTATAAATAGACATTGTAAATTCTACAAATGAAAGATAAAATACATGAATGAAATACACATGGCTTCATAATTCTGAGGAATTTTTGTCATATTTTGTATAATCTGGCAGTTCATATGAAAAAAACAAAAAAGAGTATGTTATTGTCAATGTTCTTAAGTTTTTCACACACACATACACACACACATACATACATTTTTTAGACTAGGTTAAAGATTTATCTAGGTATATGTTTGGAAATTATTCATACACATACATTACAGAAAACACTGTAAGAAATATAAAATGTTTCATACACCACCAGTTTGTTTTCTGCTAGAAGACACACAATGCCCCTCTTCTGAATCTATGGAGATGAAGGCTTCTCTCCTTTCACTCAGTACCTCATTTGCCACAAAACTGAAAGATAAGTCTGCTTTAGCTTCTTGTTTCCCCAAATCAGGATGAACGGGTGGGCTGAAGAACAGCTGAATCCAATAGCTTGGCAGAACATGAAGACAGGTTTGTTTTCCAGATTCTTAAAACTCCAAACTGATATTATTACAGACACAAAGTAAATGGCACGTAACAAGAAGAAGGAGATCACAGTTTGCAAAACTTTTATGTGGACCTTGGTACTGGGATCTTGAGATCCTTTGCCATGGAGCTGCATCTTCTTGAGATGTTTACACAGAGAACAGACTAACAGCAGAAAAGATATCAGGGTTACAGTAAAGGGTACTAAGTTTGCTAGCATGGTTACAGTCGTATCTGAAAGGTACATTGCACGCCTCAATTTGATCTTCCAAGTCATGTTTCCTTCATATTCTTTTGTCCATACAATCTGATTCATGTTTACCACAAAAAGATGACAAGCCAAAAATAGCAAAGGCCCCAACAGCACCACCAGAATGACACTCTTAACTCTCCTCTTTAAGCGAAGAAAAATAAGGTTGGAGAAATTGGCAATCTTGAGCAAATAAAATATGCTGAGGCTAGTAGCAGGCCAGTTGCTGAAATGGCCGGTTACTGCCCAGATATTATAAGCAGTAGTTCTTAATTCTACACTATAAAAAGCTGGATTCAACACAGTTGAATACCAATTTAATAATAACACCCAGAGCAAACCAACTCTGGAGACCGCCAGAGCAGTGACAATTTGGTCAGCAAAGGAGATCTTTTGTCTCTTCACCCACTCGGTGGAATTTACCAACGCTATGAAGCCATTAGCAAAATTTCCAATAACAAATGTAACCACTACTAGAATGGAAAATATGATGGGCAGAAAAGTTATCATGTCTGAACAGACAAAAAGAAATTTTTAAAATGCTGGTGTTGTATCCGGAGTTGGTTCCTGCAGGTGGGTTCGTGGTCTCGCTGACTTCAAGAATGGAGGCACGGACCTTTGCAGTGATGTTACAGCTCTTAAAGATGGCATGGCCCCAGGGCTGAGCAGTAGCAAGGTTTCAGCTCTTAAAGACTGTGTGGACCCAAAGACTGAGTGGTAGCAAGGTTTATTGTTAAGAGCAAAAGGACAAAGGTTCCACAGGGTGGAAGGGGGCCTGAGTGGGTTGCCCCGTGGGCTGCCCCGTGGGCTGGAATGGCCAGCTTTTATTCCCTTATTTGTCCCCTCCCATGTTCCATTTTTGTCCTATCAGAGTGCCCTTTTTTCAATCCTCCCTGTGATTGGCTACTTTTAGGATCCTGATGATTGGTGCGTTTTATGGAGCGCTGATTGGTGCCTTTTACAGAGAGCTGATTGGTGCATTTTACAATCCTCTGGCTAGCTAGAGTGCTGATTGGTGCATTTTTACAGAGTGTTGACTGGTGCATTTTATAATTCCCATGCTACCTAAAGAGTGCTGATTGGTGCATTTTATAATCCCCATGCTACCTAAAGAGTGCTGATTGGTGCCTTTTACAGAGCACTGATTGGTGCATTTTACAATCCCCTTGCTAGCTTCAGAATAGTTCTCCAAATCTCCACTCCACCCAGGAAGTCCAGCTGGCTTCACCTCTCAATGTAATATCACTGGTTGTGATTGCTTGAATATCCTGACCTTAAATTCTATATGCACCTAATTTGTAAATCTGCTGGGTCATTCTTTTTACTTTTAAACGTTGTGACCAGTGTCAAGCCAGAAATCACCATGGCGTGTTAACTGATGAGTTCAATGATCTCTTTATGGAAAACATTCTTATTTTCAAACAACTCAAATTAACTCATTCATTCACTGTTTGTTCTTGTTACAGGCTAGAATTATTCATACTGAAATTGACTGGAAACCTGAATCCTCATTTGCTAGTACACAAATAAGAATGTACTCTCTTTCAGAGTTTGCAATTTTTCTTTGTGTAACCTCTCCATCATTTGTGTTTAGCAACTTCAGTTGTTTGGGAAGTTTTATAACCCAATACATAGATCATATAGCAAATGTCTAAAGTCTTAAAGGGAGCTTGGTCACAACTAAGATCATTACCAATATGGACTTTTTAAAATGCCAGATTTGTATACACAGAATCCAAACTGCTTTTATCAAAAGCATCTAAGATTTTCTTGAGAACCACAGGCAGGCCAATACTCCATAAGATTTGGTTGCTGCTAATACTTTTGTATAACTTCATTATTCACAAGCTCATAAATATGAACACAAATACACGCATGTGCACACCACTTATGAATGGAACAAATTATTTTCTCATAATTTCCAAAATAAAAAATGAGTTTCCAAGAAGTTGTCCAGATGAAATTAGCCCTATTTTCCCACTCAAGAGTTTTCAGCCCATGAATAATATTTATTTATCAAACATATCTCTAATTCTTAGGCCTTTGGTAAAGTTTCTCTCAAGTCTAATGTTTAAATATTTATTATTATATAAAATATTTAGCCATTTTATAAGAATTCCTGAGTACCCGACCCTTTGGTATATAATCTTGCAGTATCCTCCTATCACAGGAAGACTGACTACCTTTCCCCTGAACTTGGAGTTCAATCATTTAACTTACTTTGATAAACAGAAAATTACTACACTTTGCATAGAGATTTGAGATGGCTTCCATACTGGGGATTCTTCCTCTTTCCATTTACCATGAGAATATCGCCTCGCAAGTACACTGTTCCCAGAAGGAGAATGAGAAAGTAATGTAGTCAGATTGCCCCCACCTGATCCAGACTAAATTGGCCAAACTCTATCTCCAAGATGCCGAATTTGGCCCATCTCAAATCACCAGAGCCATCCATCAAACCCAGCTTAGAAAAATGAAATCCAGGCCAGGTGTGGAGGAGGCTGAGGAGGGCAGATCACGAAGTCAAGAGATTGAGACCATCCTGGCCAACATGGTGAAACCCCATCTCTACTAAAAATACAAAAATTAGGTGGGCTCAGTGGAGTGTGCCTGTAGTCCCATCTACTCAGAAGGGTGAGGCAGGAGAATCGCTTGAACCCTGGAGGTGGAGGTTGCAGTGAGCCAAGATAGTGCCACTGCACTCCAGCCTGGGCAACAGAGTGAGACTCCATCTCAAAAAACAGAAAACACACACACACACAAATGAAATCCAAAGACATGTGAGATATATATGTCTAATGTTTTAGAGGGTCTTCTCTTGCAGAAAAACATAACTGATAAAAGAACTCTGCTAAACCAAGAGTGTGGGAAATATGTACAACTTTGTTGTGTCAGGAATTGAGGAGCCGAAAGAAAAAATAGATGGGGAATGGCAAAGGTTTGTCCTGTGAGGTGGATAATTAAGGCTAGAAGAAATCCTTTGGAGAGATCTGCGCTTGGCAGATAACATCATCTCAAATTTCCTCATGATGCAACTAAATAAGAAAGTTCCTATTTCAACTATCTTAGAGTTGTATAAGAATGTATATACAACTAATTGATTTTTCCCTTCAGTATATAATCAGATGAGTAATAATAATTTCTATGAGACATTTCTCCTAATCAAAAACTTTAATATTAAAATTATAATGCACACTTAGAAATGAACCAAAACAAAAATGGGAAATACCGGAATGTATCATAAACAGTCAACTAACCCTTATAAAGGGCAAGAGATGGAACACCGAAAATAGGCTAAGTCCATCTCCATGCCACCCTCCTGACATGAAAATGGTAATGATTTTCTTCCTTTTGTAATACTTTGGTCAAAGAAGAGAATAAAACCAAGGTCTAGGCATCCTCCTGCAACTTGGAAGAAACTGGAAATTGATTTGATGTGAGGAGTTTTTTTGGATAGTAGCTTGTCTGTTGTGGGGTCATCACCACAAACTCTCCTCACAGGGAAATTCAGTGAGCAGCACTGGATCTCAAAATGTCATTTCAATTAATAAGACAAAGTATCTCCGCCACAGCTCCACCATTCTATTCCATGATATAAATTTTAAGCTGTTTTTATTAGCAGAAATCAACACTTCTTAGTTTTTAACAATCTTTAAAAGATCAAATAGTAAAACAGTACTTAAAACTTTATCAAAAAATGACGGCATTCTCAGCAAACTATCACAAATGCTTTTTCTCATTCTTAGCTATGGTGACTAAATCTGGATTATTTTACTACAGCAGTCAAAGTAGCATTATATGTGCACAAACATGCTCAAAGATCAGGCTAAATTATTTTTTATACCTTAAAAAATTTGCCTTTCTATGATTTTTTTCTCTAATGGACAGCCAAAAAATTTATAGTAACAAAAAATTTTACCCAACACACTGGTGTACACAGGAATAGTACAGTGAAATTAGAATGCTAACAATGTGAATATAAATATTTCATTTAGAGACACATTTTTAATACATTTAATTTAATATATTTAATATCCATCGTACTATAATTTATTGTAAATTCCTGAATTTCTTACACTTTCAAATGTGTATCATAAATAATTAAATTGGAAATAAGAAAAAAGGTGTCTATCAATCATGGATATTCAAATTTTGATGTTTCAAATTCATATTAGCACTAAGAAAGTGGATTAACAATTCTTGCCTATCTCTTCTTTTGTGTGAATTAATTTAAGTAATGTTTTGGGCCAGGTGTGGTGGCTCACACCTGTAATCCCATCATTTGGGAGGCTGAGGCAGGTGGATTGCCTAAGCACAGGAGTTCAAGACCTGCCTGGGCAACATGGCAAAACCATGTCTCTACAAAAAAATAGAAAAAATTAGCAGGGCGTAGTGGTGCACGCCTGTTGTCCTAGCTACTCTGGAGGCTAAGATGGGAGAATCACTTGAGCCAAGGTGACAGAGGCTGCATTGAGCCAAGATTGTTCTTGTGCACTCCAGCCTGGACAACAGAGTCAGATCCTGTCTCAAAATAAAAATAGAAAAGTTTTAAATTTTAACTTGGATTTCTTAGTACCATAATCCTCTATTCTTTATTCAGCAAAAACTCTAATTACAATGATATCTATAAGAATATGCTGCATCACCCTAATTTTACACTTAGAAATGTACTTTAGGTTTCTGCTTTTTTAACATTTTTTATTGTGGAGCAAAACATACATATACAGAGTAATAACAACTAATAAAGAGTAAGATAAAAAATTATAAGGTTAAAATTGATGTTACCATACCTTGGTAAGAAAATAGAATTTGCCATTGTATATTTAGAAAACCTAATCTTCTCTGCCCAAAATCTCCTTAAGCTGATAAGCAACTTCAGCAAAGTCTCAGGATACAAAATCAATGTGCAAAAATCACAAGCATTCTTATACACCAATAACAGACAAACAGAGAGCCAAATCATGAGTGAACTCCCATTCACAATTGCTTCAAAGAGAATAAAATACCTAAGAATCCAACTTACAAGGGATGTGAAGGAAATCTTCAAGGAGAACTACAAACCACTGCTCAATGAAATAAAAGAGGATACAAACAAATGGAAGAACATTCCATGCTCATGGATAGGAAGAATCAATATCATGAAAATGGCCATACTTCCCAAGGTAATTTATAGATTCAATGCCATCCCCATCAAGCTACCAATGACTTTCTTCACAGAATTGGAAAAAAACTACTTTAAAGTTCATATGGAACCAAAAAAGAGCCTGCATTGCCAAGACAATCCTAAGCCAAAAGAACAAAGGTGGAGGCATCACGCTACCTGACTTCAAACTATACTACAAGGCTATAGTAACCAAAACAGCATGGTGCTGGTACCAAAACAGAGATATAGACCAATGGAACAGAACAGAGCCCTCACAAATAATATGACACATCTACAACCATCTGATCTTTGGCAAACCTGACCAAAACAAGAAATGGGGAAAGGATTCCCTATTTAATAAATGGTGCTGGGAAAACTGGCTAGCCATATGTAGAAAGCTGAAACTGGATCCATTCCTTACACCTTATACAAAAATTAATTCAGGATGGATTAAAGACTTAAATGTTGGACCTAAAACCATAAAAACCCTAGAAGTAAACCTAGGCAATACCATTCAGGACACAGGCATGGGCAAGGACTTCATGGCTAAAACACCAAAAGCAATGGCAACAAAAGCCAAAATTGACAAATGGGATCTAATTAAAATAAAGAGCTTCTGCACAGCAAAAGAAACTACCGTCACAGTGAACAGGCAACCTACAGAAGGAGAAAATTTTTACAATCTACCCATCTGACAAAGGGCTAATATCCAGAATCTACAAAGAACTTAAACAAATTTACAAGAAAAAAATCAAACAACCCCATCAACAAGTGGGTGAAGGATATGAACAGACACTTCTCAAAAGAAGACATTTATGCAGCTAAAAGACACACGAAAAAATGCTCATCATCGCTGGCCATCAGAGAAATGCAAATCAAAACCACAATGAGATACTATCTCACACCAGTTAGAATGGCAATCATTAAAAAGTCAGGAAACAACAGGTGCTGGAGAGGATGTGGAGAAATAGGAAAAATTTACACTACTGGTGAGACTATAAACTAGTTCAAACATTGTGGAAGACAGTGTGGCGATTCCTCAGGGATATAGAACTAGAAATGCCATTTGACCCAGCCATCCCATTACTGGATATATACCCGAAAGATTATAAATCATGCTGCTATAAAGACACATGCACATATATGTTTATTGCAGCACTATTCACAATAGCAAAGACTTGGAACCAACCCAAATGCCCATCAATGATAGACTGGATAAAGAAAATGTGGCACATATACACCATGGAATACTATGCAGCCATAAAAAATGATGAGTTCACGTCCCTTGTAGGGACGTGGATGAAGCTAGAAACCATCATTCTGAGCAAACTATCACAAGGACAGAAAACCAAACTCCACGTGTTCTCACTCATAGGTGGGAACTGAACAACGAGAACACTTGGATACAGGGTGGGGAACATCACACTCTGGGGCCTGTTGTGGGGTGGGGGGAGGAGGGAGGGATAGCATTAGGAGATATACCTAATGTAAATGACGAGTTAATGGGTGCAGCACACCAACAAGCACATGTATCCATATGTAACAAACCTGCACATTGTGCACATGTACCCTAGAACTTAAAGTAAAATAAAAATAAATAAATAAATAAAATATTAAAAAAATGAACAAAATCTCGTGTTAAGCCATAGGACTATATTAAATGAATTCATACACAAATTTCTAAGCACACAATAAATGCTCAAGAATGTTAGTGGTATTACTGTTACTGTGGCTGTTTACTGTATTTTAACACTAAAGAAATTCCTCAAATAAAATTGGTGTTAAGTCATTGTGAGGTGCTTCAATATGTAATATTTTCTTTCTACAGTTCACTAAATTACTTTTTCTAGTAACCAGTTTCCTGGTTCTAATCAGATAATCACACATGTTTAGATGGGCTTGTGCAACCTAACTAGGCTACCCTGTTGCTGTACCACCACTACCACTCCCCCATCCAACTTTATTGAGTGCTTTTGATGTGGACACTAGGATGTTCCAGATTCACTTTATTTAGATATTTGATTCAACGGTGACCAACACAGTCAAAGATACTTCGCACAGATAAGATCCAAATGAAAGAGTAAAAAAAAAAAAAAAAAAAAAAGGAAGAAAATAGAATTTGCTAGCAATCCAGATACTCCCGATATATGTCTTCTTGTTGATATTTTCCTCCCTTCTGACTATCCCAAATTGTTATGATGATCACTCATATGATGATCACTCATATGTTTCACTGTAGGGTTTTATCACCAATGTAATGAATGACAATGTATTAAAAATAAAGTTTTTCAAACTTTACGTCGATGAGATTACAGTAAATGTATTTTTCCACCTTGATAATTCCTCTCACATCTGTGAGTATTATTATCTATGTAGCTCAAATTTGTTCATTTTCTTTGTTGTATTATTCTGTTGTAAACATGTCAGTCTTGTTTGTTAATTTTGATCACTGTACAGTATTCCACTGTATAAGTATGCCACAATTTCTTTATCCATTTGGAGGACTGAGACATTTGGAGGACTTCTCAACTTTAGCTATTGAAACTCAGTGATATGCATGTGTATGTATATGTATTCTGATAAGAGTGTAAATACTTGATCTTAGGATATGATCCTTCACCTTAATGAGATAATGCCATACTCAGCCGAAATGATGGCACAGATTTATAATTCTAGGAGTAGTGTATGAAAATTCCCATTGTGTCATATCCTTTCCAAAATAAATAATGTTGGGCTAATATATACATTTTTGTATTTATATAAAATATTATTAAACAATATTTTCCAAGTCCTTTTCTATTCTTATTCAGAATGTATGTTTACTTCAATGAATTACATTAATCTTTTTCATTCTATGACTATTTCATATACACTTATTAATAATGCCTTATATATTATACATATTTATTTATATTTCATTATAAATTGTCTAACCTTTTTCTTCAAATTTCAAATACTCTTGTTATAAGTAACTGTAATTATACTGGAGATACTTCCTTTAATCAATCATTGTGTCAGATGACTTTGAAAAAATATAATTAGTTAACAGCATACAGTAAGGGAAATTTCAGGATTGTTTAACAACTCTTAAAAGGACTCAAAGAAAAAAAGTTGAAAAATAAAAAGAGTCTATAAGTTTAATGTAGGTGTCCATGGGAAAATATAAATATATTATTGTTGAAGAAAAAATGATTGGTAGTAAATTTATCATGTCTGAATTTTTTTAAAGGCAAGCCTGATATCACTGGTCAAGATTTCCTTTAAGGTCTTGACCTTAACATCTATGTGTACCTGATTCCTGAATTTGCAGGAATGTTCTTGTTCCTTTTTAAATTCTGTGACCAATGTCAAACAGGAAAGCATCTCAATATGCCAGTGGATGAAATCAATGCTGTCTTTATGGAAAACATGATGATTTCCAAAACAGCTCAAATTAACTCCTATTCAAACACAATGTCCTTGCTGTAAGATAAAATTTTCCATATTGGTGTTGAAGTGAAAAGTGATTTCTCATCTACTAGCATGCCAATGAAGAGTTTTTTAATTGTTCTGCACTTATTTCTTTGTTTAACCTCTCCACAATTTGTGTTCAGCAACTTCAGTTGTTAGAGAAATTTTACAACCTAATACAGAGATGACACACTGGTTGTATAACCTGGTAAAGGGAGCTTGGACATAACTAGGATCATCACCAAAGTAAATTTAATTTTTCAACGTGAGTAATATGTAGAGTGAATCCAAACTTTTCCTAGCAAAAGGATTCAAGTTTTTCTTGGGAATCTCAGAAAGGCCAATAATTCTTAAAACCCGGTTGCTACTAATACTTTTGAATAACTTATTCTTAAGAAGCTCATTAATACAAACACACTCAAACCCATACACACATACTCACTCACTCATGGATAGAAGAAATTGTTGTCCTATAATTTCCAAAATGGAAAATTAATTTCAGGGACATCATCCAGGTAAAAATAGCCCTATTTTCCCATTTGGGCTTTTCAACCCATTTTCAATATTTTTCAAACTTATCTCTCATGCTGAGACCTTTGACTAAGTTTTTCTCTTGAGTTTACTTAATTGTTAAATATTAATTTTTTAGTTAAAATACTCAGCAATTGTGTAACTATTGTGGGCTACTTAAAAAACACGTTTTCCATTGAAGAGTCTAGATCTTCATATATGAATATTTGGTTTTATTTTTCTCTATTTAATTTATTTTTGATTACTTAATTTATTTTTGATTACTTAATGGTTTAAGAGGAATCGATGTTAAAATCAGTCTCCAATCTTGGATTTTATTTCTTTTCCATTTTTACAGTATAATTGTTTCTAACAGAAGATTGTGGAGTCAGACTGCCAAGACAGGAAAGCAGATTTTCTGCTTCAAATATGGTCTGAGACTTCATTTGACAACTACTCTCTGCCTTGGTATAATCATCTGTAAAATGCAAATGATAATAATATTCTCTTCAGGTAGTCTTTATGAGGAGTTAGTATACTAGTTGTATAACTGCTTTCAATTTTATCTGTCTAGTACAGGCAGGAACCAAGAATTATTAATTTTTTGTATGATCGTGTGTTACTTGATACATAAAAGATAACCAGTGAGACCTTCTTTTTTGGGGTAGGGGAGCGAGAAAGACAGGGTCTTACTCGTCACCCAGGCTGGAGTGCAATGGCTTGATCACAGCTCACTCCAGTCTCAAACATTTGTGTCCTCCCACCTCAGCTTCTGGAGTAGCTGTGTCTACAGGCATGCATCACAACACCCAGCTAATTTATTAATTTTTTTGTTGAGACAGAGTCTCCCTATGTTGCCCAGTCTGGTCTTCAACTCCTGTTCTCAAGTGGTCCCCTCATCTTGGCCTCCCAAAGTGCTTGGATACAGGTGTGAACAACCACACGTGGCTGAGAACTTCCATTTTTGGGCAGAATGCACAAGGTTCAGAAAAGCATGATACCTTCTGCTACAATTAAGATAAGAGAAATAAAAGGCCAAAATTATATTTTCAATTTGTCACAGAGTTGTACAAGCAAGAATGACCAGCTGAACTGAAATCCAGCACAGGGAGAGTCTTTATAGATTGCAGTTATATATTCAGTGCAATCCCTATCAAATCCCAGCAGATGTTTTATCACAGAAAGTGGAAAACTACTCCTAAAATGTGTCTGGAAATGCCAAGTGACAAGATCACAAAAAGAAATTGTTAAAAAATAACAAATTTGGAGGATTACACTTTCTGATTTCAAAGCTTCCTTCAAAGCTGCACGAATCAGGATTCTATGGTACTCGCATTAGGGTAGACAAAAAGAACAATGAAACACAACTGAGAGTCCAGAAATTAACACCAACATTCATGGTCAATTGATTTCAAAAAAGGGACTACTGCAATTTGATAGGAATTAATGGTTTTTCTCAACAAACAATGCTGGGTAAAATTGAAGAAGACTACCTCAAAGAATTTAATAATCAATTTCCCTAAGCTCAAGGATAAAGAAAGGATTCTGAAAGCAGCAAAAGAAAAGGAACAAATAATGTACAATGGAGCTCCACTACATGTGGCAGCAGACTTTTCAGTGGAAAAAGGCCAGGAGAGAGTGGTATGACATATTAAAAGTGCAGAGAGTGGTATGACATATTAAAAGTGCTGAAGAAAGAAAACTTTCAGCCTAGAATAGTGTAACTGGAGAAAATATCCTTCAAACGTGAAAGAGAAATAAAGACTTTTCCAGACCAACAAAAGCTGAGTGATTTCATCAGCACCAGATCTCTCCTAGAAAAATTTCAAACGGATTACTTCAGTCAGAAAGAAAAGGACATTAATGGGCAATAAGTAATCACTTGAAGCTATAAAACGTACGGGTAATAGTAAGGAGACAGAAAACACAGACTAATATAACACTGTAAATGTGGTGCATAAACATCACTTAAATAGAAAAACTAAATGATGAAGTAATAATGAAAAAAAATAGTGGAGTGGCTGGCAAAATGTCCTAATAGGAACAGCTCCAGTCTGCAAATCCCAGCAAGATCAACACAAAAGGTGGGTGATTTCTGCATTTCCAACTGAGTTACATGGCTCATCTCATTGGGACTGGTTAGACAGCAGGTGAAGCCCACGGAGGACGAGCCAAAGGAGGGTGTGGTGTTGCCTCACCCGGGAAGTGCAAGGGGTCGGGGAACTCCCTCTCCTAGCCAAGGGAAGCTGTAAGGGACCATGCAGTGAGGGACGATGTATTCTGGCCCAGATACTACACTTTCCCCATGGTCTTCGTAACCCACAAACCAGGAGATTTCCTCCAGTGTTTATGCCACCAGGGCCATGGGTCTCAAGCATAAAACTGGGCGATCATTTGGGCAGACACCAAGCTAGCTGCAGAAGTTTTTTGTCATACCCCAGTGGTGCCTGGAATGCCAGCAAGACAGAACCATTCAGTCCCCTGGAAAGGGGGCTGAAGCCAGGAAGCCAAGTTGTCTAGCTCAGTGGATCCCACCTCCTTGGAGCCCAGCAAGCTAAGATCCACTGGTTTGACATTCTCACTGCTAGTTTAGCAGTCTGAAGTCAACCTGGGATGCTTGAGCTTAGTCAAGGGAAGGACGTCCGCCATTACTGGGGCTTGAGTAGGCAATTTTCCCCTTACGGTGTAAACAAAGCCACCAGGAAGTTCAAACTGGGTGGAGCCCACAGCAGCTCTGCACAACCACTGTAGCCAAACTGCCTCTCTAGACTCTTCCTCTCTGGTCAGGGCATCTCTGAAAGAAAGGCAGCAGCTCCAGTCAGGGGCTTATAGATAAAACTCTCATCTCCCTGGGACAGAGCACCTGGGAGAAGGGGCAGCTGTGGGAGCAGCATCAGCAGACATAAACTTTCCTGCCTGACACTCTGAAAAGAGCAGCAGATCTCCCAGCACAGCACTTGAGCTCTGCTAAAGGACAGAGTGCCTCCTTAAGTGGGTCCCTGACCTCTGTGCCTCCTGACTGGGAGACATCTCCCAGCAATGGTGGACAGAAACCTCATACAGGAAAGCTCTGCCTGACATCTGGCGGGTAACCCTCTGGGATGAAGCTTCCAGAGGAAGGAACAGGCAGCAATATCTGCTGTTTTGCAGCCTCCACTGGTGATACCCAGGCAAACAAGGTCTGGAGTGGACCTCCAGCAAACTACAGCAGACTTGCAGCAGAGGACCCTGACTGTTAGAAGGAAAATCAACAAACAAAAAGGAATAGCATCAACATCAACAAAAAGGATGTACACACAGAGACCCCATCTGAAGGTCACCAACATCAAAGACCAAAGGTAGAAAAATCCATGATGATGAGGAAAAACCAGGGCAAAAAAGGCTGAAAATTCCAAAAACCGGAAGCCTCTTCTCTTCCAAAGGATCACAACTCCTCACCAGCAAGGGAACAAAACTGGACAGAGAATGAGTTTGATGAATTGACACAAGTAGGCTTCAGAAGGTGGGTAATAAACTCAACTGAGATAAAGAAGCATGGTCTAACCCAATGCAAGGGAGCCAAGAACCTTGAAAAAAGGTTAGAGCAATTGCTACCTGGAATAACCAGTTTAGAAAAGAACATAAATGACCTGATGGAGCTGAAAAGCACAGCATGAGAACTTTGTGAAGCATACACAAATATCAATAGGTGAACCAATCAAGCGGAAGAAAGGATATCAGACATTGAAGATCAATTTAATGAAATAATGCATGAAGATGAGATTAGAGAAAAAACAATGAAAAGGAACAAACAAAGCCTCAAGAAATATTGGACTATGTGAAAAGACCAAACCTATGATTCACTGGTGTACCTGAAAGAGATGGGGATAATGGAACAAAGTTGGAAAACACTCTTCAGGATATTATCCAGGAGAACTTACCCAACTTAGCAAGACTGGCCAACATTCAAATTCAGGGAATACAGAGAACACCACAAAGATACTCCTTGAGAAGAGCACCCAAAAACACTTAATAGTCAGATTCACCAAGGTTGAAATGAAGGAAAAAATGTTAAGAACAGCCAGACAGAAAGGCTGAGTCACCAAAAAGAGAAGCCCATCAGACTAACAGCAGATCTCCTGGCAGAAACCCTACAAGCCAGAAGAGAGTGGGGACATTCTTCGAGAAAAGGATTTTCAACCCAGAATTTCATAGCAAGCCAAAAAGCTTCATAGTTGAAGGAGAAATAAAATCCTTACAGACAAGCAAATGCTAAGAGATTTTGTTACCACCAGGCCTGCCTCACAAGAGCTTCTGAAGCAAGCACTAAATGTGGAAAGGAAAAACCAGTACCAGCCACTTCAGAAAAACACCAAATTGTAAAGACCACTGGCACTATGAAGAAACTACATCAACTAATGAAGCAAAATAACCAGCTAGCATCATAATTATAGGAAAAAAATCACACATAACAATATTAACCTTAAATGTAAATGGGAAAAATACCCCAATTAAAAGGCACAGACCAGCAAATTGAATAGAGTCAAGACCCATTGTTGTGCTGTATTCAGGAAACCCATCTCATGTGCAAAGACACAAATAGTCTCAACATAAAGGGATGGAGGAATATTTACCACACAAATGGAAAGCAAAAGAAAGCAGGGGTGGCAATCCTAGACTCTGATAAAACAGACTTTAAACCAACAAAGGTCAAAAAAGACAAAGAGGAGAATTACATAATGGTAAAGGAATCAACGCAACAAGAAGAGCTAACTATCCTAAATATATGTGCACCCAATACAGGGGCACCCAGATGCATAAAGCAAGTTCTTAGAGACCTACAAAGAGACTTAGACTCCCACACAATAATAGTGAGAGACTTTAACACCCCACAGTCAATATTAGACAGATCAATGAGACAGAAAATTAACAAGGATATTAGGACTTGAACTCAGCTCTGGACCAAGCTGACCTAATAGACATCTACAGAACTCTCCACCTCAAATCAACAGAATACACATTCTTCTCAGCACCACATCACACTAATTCTAAAACTGACCACATAAGTGGAAGTGAAACACTCCTCAGCAAATGCAAAACAAAATAAATCATAACAAACAGTCTCTCATACCACAGTGCAATCAAATTAGAACTCAGGATTCAGAAACTCACTCAGAACTGCACAACTACATGGAAACTGAACAACTTGCTCTTGAATGACTACTGAGTAAATAACGATATTAAGACAGAAATAAATAAGTTCTTTGAAACCAATGAGAACAAAGACAAAATGTACCAGAATCTCTGGGACACAGCTAAAGCAGTGTTTAGAGGGAAATTTATAGCACTAAATGCCCACAGGAGAAAGTGGGAAAGATCTAAAGTTGACACCCTAGCATCACAATTAAAAGAACTGGAGAAGCAAGAGCAAACAAATTTAAAAGCTAGCAGAAGACAAGAGATAACTAAGGTCAGAGCACAACTGAAGGAGATAGAAACACCTAAAACCCTTCAGAAAATCAATGAATCCAGGAGCTGGTTTTTTGAAAAGTTCAACAAAATAGAAAGACAGCTAGCCAGACTAGTAAAGAAGAAAAGAGAGAATAATCCAATAGACACAATAAAAAAATAATAAAGGAGATATTACCACTGACTTCAGAGAAATACAAACTATCATCAGAGAATACTATAAACACCTCTATGCAAATACGCTAGAAAATTTAGAAGAAATGGATAAAATACTGGACACATACAACATCCCAAGTCTAAACCAGGAAGAAGTCAAATCCCTGAATAGACCAATAACAAGTTCTGAAACTGAGACAGTAATTAATAGCCTAGCAACCAAAAAAAGTCCAGGAACAGACATACTCACAACCAAATTCTACCAGAGGTACAAAGAGGAGATGGTACCATTCTTTCTGAAACTATTCAAAACACTGGAAAAAGAGGGACTACTCCTTAACTCATTTTATGAGGCCAGCATCATCCTGATTCCAAAACCTGATAGAGACACAGCAAAAAGAGAAAATTTTAGGCCAATATCCTTGATAAACATCGATGCGAAAATCCTCAATAAAATACTGGCAAGCCAAATCCAGCAGCATATAAAAAGGCTTATCCACCAAGATCAAGTCGTCTTCAACCCTGGGATGCAAGGCTGGTTCAACATATGCAAATCAATAAACATAATCCATCACATAAACAGAACCAATGACAAAAACCACATGATTATCTCAACAGATGCAGAAAAGGCCTTTGATAAAATTCAACATGCCTTCATGCTAAAAACACTCAAGAAACTAGGTACTGATGGAATGTATCTCAAAATATTAAGTGCTATTTATGACAAACCCACAGCCAATATACTGAATGGGCAAAAACGGGAAGCATTCCCTTTGAAAATCGGCACAAAACAAGGATGCCATCTCTCACCACTCCTGTTCAACATAGTATTGGAAATTCTGGCCAGGACAATCAGGAAGAGAAAGAAATAAAGGGTATTCAAATAGAAAGAAAGGAAGTCAAACTGTCTCTGTTTGCAGATGACAGGATTGTATATTTAGAAAAACCCATCATCTCAGCCCCAAATCTCCTTAAGCTGATAAGCAATTTCAGCAGTCTCAGGATAAAAAATCAACATGCAAAATTCACAAGCATTCCTATACACCAATAACAGACAAACAGAGAGCCAAATCATGAGTGAACTCCATTTCACAATTGCTACAAAGAGAATAAAATACCTAGGAATACAGCTAAGAAGAGATGTGAAAGATCTCTTCAAGGAGAACAACAAACCACTTCTCAAGGAAATAAGAGAGGACACAAACACATGGAAAAACATTTCATACCATTGACTTTCTTCAAAGAATTGGAAAACACTACTTAGAAATTCACATGGAACCAAAAAAGAGCCCGTGTAGTCAAGACAATCCTAAGCAAAAAGAACAAAGCAGGAGGCATCACACTACCTGGCTTCAAAGTATACTACAAGTCTACAGTAACCAAAACAGCATGGTACTGGTACCAAAACAGATATATAGACCAATGGAACAGAACAGAGGCCTCAGAAATAATGCCACACATCTACAACCATCTGATTTTGACAAACCTGACAAAAAACAAGCAGTGAGGGAATGGATTCCCTATTTGATAAATGGTGTTGGGCAAACTGGCTAGCCTTAGGCAGAAAACTGAAACTGGACCCCTTCCTTACACATTATACAAAAATTAATTCAGGGTGGATTAAAAACTTAAATGTAATATCCAAAACCATAAAAACCCTAGAAGAAAAGCTAGGCAATACCATTCAGGACATAGGCATGAGCAAAGACTTCATGACTGAAACACCAAAAGCAATTGCAACAAAAGACAAAATGTACAAATGGAATCTAATTAAACTAAAGAGCTTCTGTACAGCAAAAGAAACTATCATCAGAGTGACAGGCAACCTACAGAATGGGAGAAAATTTTTGCAATCTATTAAACAAACAACCCCATCAAAAAGTGGGTGGAGGATATGAGCAGACACTTCTCAAAAGAAGACATTTATGTGCCCAAGAAAATATGGGAAAGAAAGAAGCTCATCATCACTGCTCATTAGAGAAATGCAAATCAAAACCACAATGAGATACCATCTCATGACAGAATGGTGATCATTAAAAAGTCAGGAAACAACAGATGCTGGAGAGTAGGTGGAGAAATAGGAATGCTTTTACACTCTTGGTGGGAGTGCAAATTAGTTCAACCATTGGGGAAAACAGTGTGGTGATTCCTCAAGGATCTAGAACCAGAAATACCATTTGATCCAGCAATCCCATTACTGGGTACATACCCAAAGGATTATAAATTATTCTACTATAAAGACACATGCACATGTATGTTTATTGCAGCATTGTTCACAAGAGCAAAGACCTGGGACCAACCCAAATGCCCATCAAATATAGACTGTATAAAGAAAATGTGGCACATATGTACCATGGAATACTATGCAGCCATAAAAAAGGATGAGTTCATGTCCTTTGCAGGGACCTGGATGAAGCTGGAAACCATCATTCTCAGCAAACTAACACAGGAACAGAAAACCAAACACCACATTATCACTCATAATTGGGAGCTAAACAATGAGAACACATGGACACAGGGAGGACACAGGGAACGTCACACAACTGGGCCTTTTAGGGTGAGGGGGGCTAGGGATAGCATTAGGAGAAATATCTAATGTAGATGATGGGTTGATGGGTGCAGCAAACCACCATGGCACATGTACACCGATGTAACAAACCTGCACGTTCTGCACATGTATCCCAGAAGTTAAAGTATAATTAAAAAAATAATAGCCACAACAACCTTTGAATACATACACAGTACAATAAGAAATAAATAGTGAAAACAGAAAGTTAAAAATGAAGAAGATGGAGTTAAGGTGCAGAGTCTTCATTTGTTTTGTTTTTGTGCTTGTTTGTTTGCTTATGCGAACAGTGCTAAGTTGTTATCAGCTTGAAATAATGGGTTAGAGGGTAGTATTTGCAAGCCTCATGGTAATCTCAAACCAAAAAGCATAGAATGGATACACAAACATAAAAAGCAAAAAACTATATTATATCACCAGAGAAAATAACCTTCACTAAAGAAAAATAGGAAGGTAGGAAAGAAAGACGAGCAGACCACAACATAACCAGAAAACAAATAACAAAATGACAAAAGTAAGTCCTAACTACCAATACTAACATTGAATGTAAATGGACTAAACTCTCCAATCAAAAGACATAGTCTGGCTAAATGGAAAAACAAACAAACAAACAAAACACCAATCTGTTGCCTCTAAGAAACACACTTTGTCTATAAAGACATGCACAGAAAGAAAACAACGGGATGGAAAAAGATAATTCATGGCAATGGAAGCCAAAAAAAGTGGAGTACCTATACAAGTATTAGACAAAATAGAGTTCAAGACAAAAACTATGAGGAGATAAAGGTCACCATATAATGATAAAGGGGTCAATTCATCAAAATGATATTGCAATTGTAAATATATATGCACTCAACACTGGAGCACCCAGATATATAAAGCAAATACTATTAGACCAAAGCAAAGAGAAAGCCTCAATACAATAATAGATGGAGACTTCAACACTCCACTTTCAGCATCAGACAGATCCTCCAGACAGAAAATCAACAAAGAAACATCAGACTTAATCTGCAGTATAGAACAAATTGATTACAGATATTTACATAACATTTCATCCAAAAGTTTCAGAATAAACATTCTTTTCCTCAGCACATGGATTTTTCTCAAGGATAGACCATATGTTAGATCACAAAACAAGTCTTGAACAATCCAAAAAATTGAAATATTACCAAGCATCAACTCTGACCACAATGGAATAAAACTAGAACTCAATAACAAGAGGAATTTTGGAAACTATACAGACACATGGAAATGAAACAATATGCTCCTGAATGACCAGTAGGTCATCAAAGAAATTTAAAAGGAAATTGAAAAAATGCTAGAAACAAATGATAGTGGAAACACAACATACCAAAATCTATGAAATACAGCGAAAGCAATACTAAGAAGGAAATTTATAGCTATAAGGGCCTACATCAGAAAAGAAGAAAAACTTGAAATAAACAACCTAAATGTGTATCTTAAATAACTGAAAAAACAAGAGTAACCCAAGCCCAAAATTAGTAGAAGAACACAAATAATAAAAATTACAGCAGAAATAAATGAAATTGAAATGAAGAAAACAATACAAAAGATCAATGAAACAAAAACCTGTTTTCTTGAAAAGTTAAACAACATTGACAAACGTTCAGGCCGACTAAGAAAAAAAGATCAAAATTAATAAAATCAGACATGAAAGCAGAGATATTACAACTGATACCACTGAAATTCAAAGAATTATTAGTGACTACTATGAGCAACTATATGCCAATAAATTGAAATCTCTAAAAAAATGGAAAAATTCCCAGGCACATACAACCTACAAAGATTGAACCATGAAGAAATCCAAAACCTGATAAGACCAAAAACAGGTAATGAGATTAATTCTGCAATAAAAAGTCTCCCACTTTAGAAAAAACAAAACAAAACAAAACAAACAAAAAACAAAAAACAAAGCCTGGGAGCAGATGGCTTTAGAGCTGAATTCTACCAAACATTTAAAGAATAACTGATACCAATCCTACACAAACTATTCTGAAAAACAGAGGAAGAGGGAATACTTCCAGGCTCATTCTTGAAATTCTTGTTACCCTGATACCAAAACCAGACAAAGACACATCTAAAAAGGAAAACAACAAGCACATATCTCTGATGAATATTGATTCCAAAGTCTCAATACTATACTAGTGAACCAAATTAAATAATACATTAAAAAGATATTTCCTCATGAACAAGTGGGATTTATCCCTAGGATGCAAGGATAGTTCAACATACACAAATCAATCAATGTGATACATCATATATACAGAATGAAGGTCAAGAACCATATAAACGTTTTAATTAATGCTGAAAAAGCATTTGATAAGATTCAACATTCCTTCATGATAAAAACCCTCAGAAAACTGGATATAGAAGGAAAATCTCAACATAATAAAAATCACATAAAAAGACCCACAACTAGTATCATACTAAATTGGGAAAAACTAAAAGGCTTTCCTCTAAGATCTGGAACATGACAAGAATGCTCACATTCACTACTATTATTCAACATAATAGTAGAAGCTCTGGCTAGAGCAATCACTCAAGAAAAATAAAGAGCATCCACATAGGAAAGGAACAAGTCAAATTATGCTTGTTTGTAAACAATATGATCTTATATTTGTAAAACCTGAAGACTGTACCAAAAACTATTAGAATTGATAAACAAACTCAGTAAATTTGCAGAATACACAATTAACATAAAAAATTAGTAGTATTTCTACATGCCAATAGTGAACAATTTGAAAACAAAATCAAAAAAGTAATCCCACTTACAAAGGTCACACATAAAATTAAATACCTGAAAATTAACTCAGCCAAAGAGATGAAATAGCTCTATAATGAAAACTATAAAACTCTAATGAAAGAAATGGAAAAGGACACCCAAAAAAAGAAAAGATAGTCCATGTTCATGGATTAGAAGTATCAACATTGTTAAAATGGCCATACTACCCAAAGAATCTACAGATTCAATGCAATTCCTATCAAAATACCAAAAACATTCTTCACAGAAATAGAGAAAACAATCCTAAAATTTATATAGAGCCACAACTGACCCAGAATAGCCAAAACTATCCTAAGAAAAAAGAACAAAACTGAAGGAATCATGTTACTTGACTTCATATGATACTTACTACTGAGGCTACAGAAACCAAAACAGCATGTACTGGCATTAAAACTGACACATAGAACGATGGAACAGAACAGACAACTCGGAAACAAACCCACACACCTACAGTGAACTCATTTTTGAAAAAGATGCCAAGAACATACACTGGAAAAAGACAGTCTCTTCAATAAATGGTGCTGGGACAACTGAATATCCATATGCAGAAGAATGAAACTAGGCCCATATATCTATACAAATATCAAATCAAAATGGATTAAAGATGTATGATTAAGATCTCAAACCATGAAGCTCCCATAAGAAAACATCAGAGAAACTCCCCAGGACATTGGTTTGAGCAAAAATTTCTTAAGTAGTAATACCCTACAAGTACAGGCAACCAAGTAAAAAATGCACAATTGGGATCACATCAAGTTAAAAAATACTTCTGCACAGCAAAGTTATGATCAACAAAGTGAAGAGACAATCCACAGAATAGGAGAAAATATTTGCAAACTACTCATCTGGCAAGGGATTAATAACCAGAATATAAAAGGAGCTTAAACAACTGTATAGGAAAAAAAATCTAACAATCTGATCAAAAAAATGGGTGAAATATTTGGATAGTCATTTCTCAAAACAAGATATACGAATGTCAAACAGACATGTGAAAAGGTGCTCAACATCATTGATCATCAGAGAAATGCAAATCAAAACTAAAATAAGATATCATCTCATCCCAGTTAAAACAGCTTATATACAAAAGACAGGTAGTAACAAATGCTGGTGAGGATGTGGAGAAACGGGAACCACTGTACACCGCAGGTGGGAATATAAATTAGTAAAACCACTATGGAAAACAGTTTAAAGGTTTCTCAAAAGACTAAAATTAGAGTTACCATATGATCCAGCAATCTCACTGGTGGGTATATACCCAAAAGAAAGGAAGTAAGTGTATCAAACAGGTATCCACACTCCCATGTTTGTTGTAGCACTGTTCACAATAGCCAAGATTTGGAAGCAATCAAAGTGTCCAGCAACAGATGAATAGATAAAGAGAAGGTGGTATGGCCGGGGGCGGTGGCTGACACCGGTAATCCCAGCACTTTGGGAGGCCGAGGTGGGTGGATCATGAGGTCAAGAGATTGAGACCATCCTGGCCAACATGGTGAAACCCCATCGCTACTAAAAATACAAAAAAATTAGCTGGGCGTGGTGGCTGGCGCCTGTAGTCCCAGCGACTCAGGAGGCTGAGGCAGGAGAACCACTTGAACCTGGGAGGCTGAAGTTGCAGTGAGCTGAGATTGCGCCACTGCACTCCAGCCTGGAGACAGAGCGAGACTCCATCTCAAAAAAAAAAAAAAAAAAAAAGAGGGAGAGAGAATGTGGTACATATACACAGTGGAGTACTATTCAGCCATTTAAAAAATGAGATCCTGTCATTTGCAGCAATACGGATGGAATTGGAGATTATTATGTTAAGTTGAATAAGTAAAAAATAACTGCAATGTTTGTGCAGAAAGGCAAGCATTGCACTTTCTCACTCATCTGTGGTATCTAAAAATCAAAACAATTGAACTCGTGGACATAGAGAGTACATAGATGGTTAACAAAGGCTAGGAAAGGTAGTGGGGGCTAAAGGGAAGGTGTGGCTGGTTAATGGCTACCAAAAAAAAAAATAGAAAGAGTGAATGAGACCTACTATTTGATACCACAGCAGAGTGACTATAGTCAATGATAATTTAGCTGTACATTTTAACGTAACTAAAAGAGTATAACTGGATTGTTTGTAACAAAAAAGAGTAAATGTTTGAGGGGATGGCTACCCCATTCTTATGTGATTATTACTCTTTGCATGCCTGTATCAACACATCCCGTGTACTCAATATAGACCTACTATATATCCACAAAACTTAAAAATACATTTAAAAAAAAGAAATTCCTAAACTTCCCATACCTGTTTACTGATAAGGTAAACTAATATGCCCACATAATGTTAAAATACCAAAAAATGTAAAATTATGTTTTCAAACAAACTGAATACAAATTATGAAAAATTCCACATATTGACAGTAATTATTTTCTGTAGCCTATTGTCTTAAATTTAATTTCCAAGATTCCTAGTTCAAGACCTTAGACTAATATTAGATTCAGTGACTTCATGAAAATCTTTGGATAATTACTAGTTAAGATGGAATACTGAAATGTGGTCACCAATCACGGGTTATATAAATAAATAACTAAATGTAACTTTTATATTTTATGGACTGGCTATTTGTTTGGATTACATTAACAAACATGGGAGTTTTGTATGCCAATTCAAGCAAGTGTAAAAAGGATATATATGACTATAGAAAGTTGTAATATATGTGCTTGAGAATTTTGCACATCTGCCAAAATACTTATTTTTAATAGTCCTCAATTACATAACTTCCAGTTTCCTCTTTGAAAGAGAATTACTTTGATTAATGTAATGAATAAAAGTAGGAGTTAGAACCATGGTAGAAACAAGAATGGACAAGGAATATGACTGTTATGAAAGGTAATGGAATGTAGTTTGGGTTTTCAAGAAAAGAGTATCTTTGCCTAAAGTAATGTGTTTTGTTGCTATTTCTGTCCTCACTGTGCTTGATGATAACTGAAATCAATTTTATTATTTTAGCTGGGCTTCATGAAGTCTGCCTATACATGTGTGGTGTAGGGACCAGACAAAGCTTTGGATAGTCTATAGTCAGAAGCTGGGGCTCCCCTTTTCTGGACTTCTCCTTTCTCAGATTTTCTCCTGACCTCCTGCGGCTCATGTTACCCTAAACTCAGTCCTCTGTTACTTCAACCCAGTAACTCTACAGCTTTTTTACTGACGTTTTAGTCCTCTGCCTGGTGCACACTAGGGCCAGCTATAAAATCAGGAAACTCACTCCTTGCTATTTCCTTCTTCCAAGTGTCAACTGCTTTTCAGTATCGGCCTATTTTGTTCATTCTCCATTGCCTTCAGATGGCTGTTTTTTTTTTAAATATTTTATCCAGAATTTATAGAAAGTATCTGTGGGAGGTTTGGTCCTATGGGTGTTATTTGATCATTAGTGTAAGCAAAAAATGTTGTGTATATATTTTTACTGCTTATCATGTTTTCCTTTTTCTTTGGCCCACTATTTCATGTAGAATAGATTGACAGTCATTAGTTTTACAGCTTAGTCCACAGATTCTGAATTACAGAGAACGGCTCATGATGGAATGGAGGGGAATATTGGCAACGTCCAGAGATCATACATTTTTATCAGGATGAAATTGGAAAAGGGAGCACATTTCTAAATCATCAAGATTGGTGGTTTGAAAACATATCCAAGTGCTTCGACATACCTCATATGAACAGATGCAGTCTTATTCCCCTTCTCTTCAAAACAGGCCTTCATGATGTGTTTTAGTAAATTGTATGTCTCAGAACTGACACAGAAGAAGTTACAAGGTTTATAAAGCTGGCACCTTCTTGTCACATGTGCCCTTGGCACCTAGAGCCAAATGCTGGAGAAACTACGTAGAGAAACAAAATAAAAATAGAGATGCCTGAGGATCCTCAGCTCACTGCCCACCCCCAATAAAACATATCATTAATACGTTTCCTATCATCAATATATTGATTAGACAGATAATTTGTAATATTTGCAGAATGTTTCATTCAGTTATGATCCATAGTTTCTATACCCTCTTTACATTGAGTTTTTTTTAAGAGAAGGAATATTTGAATTTTTTTGAGGAATATTAGGAATGGGAGACAAAGGAGATAATTGGAAATTCAGGGGCTCAGAGGTGGCTAAGCAAATTAAATGGAAATACTTGACATCAGATGTCAACTTCAAAAAAGGCTTTCTTTAATTAAAAAGTGGAAGAAATCTCTTTTCTAACTACACATAAAAAATTATAACAGCACTGAAATGATCATGATTATGTTTCTTCATTCCTATTATACAAACGAATTTTTTTTCTAAGCTATTCACATACTGGTATAAATCTAGTATTCTTTAGTACTGTTTTTGGTATATATATACAAAATTTACTCTACATATGTTTGTCACTCAAATTTAATTGTGTGCATCATTATCTAACAACAACATAAAATAAGAATTCATAATGAAATAAAACCTACCCCAAAGATACATTCTCCTCATTGATTTAGAGTTGAATGTCTTTACCATCCAAAAAATTAGATGTTCAAACAATGATAGTTAAGTTCATACATGTGGTACAAATTACAATGGAAAACAGCAATAATTTGCTGATAAAAGCTATATGTTCTTAATTATAAATAGAGATAATTCTTCAAATGAAATATCATACAATAAACTATCATATAATAAACATACATATATATGTGAAATGTACTCGGCTTCATAATTTATGGTCAGTGTTGTTATTCATACACATGCACACATATACACACATATATATATGCGTGTGCACTCCTGTAACTTGCTTCAATGAACAGGAAATTAGTAGACTTTACACAGAGATTTAAGATGGCTTCCACATTGGAGTTTCTTGCTCTTTTCCATTTACCATGAGGACATCATCTGGCTATTACACTGTTCCCAGAAGAAGAATGAGAAACTAATGGAGTCAGAATGCTACTGCCTGATCTAGCCTAAATCATCCAAACTCTATCTTCAAGATGCAGTACGTGGCCCATCTCCAATCACCACAGCCATCCATCAAACCCAGCTTAGAAAAATGAAATCCAAAGACATATGAGATACAAATATCTAATGTAGTTTTGGAGGATTTTCTCTTGCAGAAAAACATAAGTGACATAGGTATTCTGCTAAACCAAAAGTGTGGGAAATATGTCCACACTTGTTGTGTCAGGAATTCAGGATACAAGGGAAAAATAGTTGGAGAATGTCAAAGTTTTGTCATATGAAGTCAATAATTAAACCTAAAAGAAAAACCTGTTGAAAAATCCGGGGTTGGCAGGAAACATCATGTCAAATTTCCAAAAGTTGCAACTAAAATCAGAAAGTTTCTTCTTAAAATCTCTTAGAGTTATACATGAATGTATACAAATAGTGGATTTTTCCCTTCAGTATATAATGAGCAGGGTAATAATAATTTTCATGGAAAATTTCTCCTAATTAATAATTTTTATAACTAGACTACACACTTAGAAATGGGCCAAAACAAAAATGGAAAACATAGCAATGTATCATAAACACTCATGTAACCATTATGTAGGGCGAGACATGGAACATTGCTAAGAGGCTAGGTTTACCTCAATGCCACTTTCCAATCCCCTACACCTTTCTTCACACCTCTTATGATAAGTACATCCATAATTTATAATGATCTTTTTTTATTTTCTTTGTACTTTACGAACAAAGCATGCAACCCTAAACTCAATAGCTTCGTTTGGTCTGCTTTGAACTGTGTATAGGTGCAATCCTATATGTCCTTATTCATGGCTTCCTGGACTCAACATTATGTATCTGAAATTTAATCACATGGTTGCATGTACATGTGATTCATTTATTTTCACTTCTGTATATTTTTCCATTTTATGATTTTACTGTAATTATTTATCCATCTTTATTTGATATATATTTGGGCAGCTTATTTTTGAGCTATTATTAATAATGCTACAATGAACATTCTTTCACATATCATTTGCTACAATTCCTTTGTGTATATATATCTGGGTGTAGATTTATACGGTCCTGGATTATGATATTCAAATTCTACTCACAGACATAGAAAAGCCCAAAACAGTTTGACTAAATTTATTCCTGTCACTTTGTCTCCAGTCTCCTTATTGCTATTTGCATATATCTTATCAATTATACAATTAATCCAACAAGACACTATTGTTTTCTACAGGCAACATTTATTTAGAATTACACACTTATTTTTCATTGTCATTAATTTTATTGCTTCTTGCATGTTCAACTTTGTATTTTCAGTACAACTTTGTATTTTCTCTTGCTCTATTTTCTCTCCTCTAATCTTACAGAACTCCAGAAGTATGTTACATATTCCAACTGTAGCATGAATTTGTTACCCTCTAGTCTTATATTTTCCATCTTTCTCTCAGTGCTTCATTCTTTGTAGCTATCTTCCAATTCACTAATTATCTCTTCTACTCCATCTAACTGGTTAACTCTGTCTATTGGATTCTCAATATTGATAATTCATTTTTTAGTTTTCTTGTTTTAGTGTTCAGAATAATCTTTTATTATCTTTCCATAAATTATTTTCTACAGGGAAACTGAACAAACTAATCTTAACGGCATGTTCTTTTTAAAAGTGTTTTTGATTTTGGGGTTTTTTGTTTTCTGTTTTAGTATGTTAGAAATGAAAATGGTAACAAATTCCTTCTTTTCCCAACACTTTGGTCAGAGAATAGAATAAAAGCTTCATCTTGGAATTTACCTTCAATTTGAAAGAAACCAGAAATGAAGTTCATATAAGTAGCTTTTTTGGGATAGTAGCTTGTCTTGCTGGGTCCTCGCCACACAATCTCCTCACAAGGAAACTCAATGAGTAGCACTGCATTTCAAAATATCATTGCAATAGATAAAATATAGTTCATCAACCACAGCTATGTCATTGTATTCCATGAATTAATTTTCACTTTGCTTATGTTGTAGAAATGGGGCTCTGTGCCTTTGAACTCCATCCTTACCTACATGAAATAGAGAAGATGTGGGGGAGGGCTTATTTGATTTGTTTAGCCCTAAAATCCTCTCTTTAGAAATAAGAGCTTGATCATGAAATGGTTTATTTATTTTTCTTATTAAGCAATTTTATTTATACTAAAATCAAAATCTTTTTATAGTGTTCCTTGGATTAGTTTAATATCATCTATAATTGTTTTCTTCAGCAATGTATTTTAAACTGCACTACACTTAACTTTCTAAATCTAAATGTATTCAACTTGACTTGAACTTTGCTGTTTACTAACGTAAATTTCCCACAATGATATCTCTTAGAACTTATGTAAACGGTGTCCAAATTATGTATGTAAATATTTCAAAAATAAATCATATAATAAGATAGATGTAAATGTAGATGATTATAATAATGATGATAATGTCAGCTAAAAGGGAGAATGTTATTTGATAAATGTGATTTGGGTCTTCTTTTCAATGTACTAGAGTTAAGGGTAGTGGGAGAACACTATTATTCTTTCTCATGGATTTACGATTTTTTTTTTTGACATGGAGTTTCACTCTTGTCACCCAGGCTGCAGTGCAATGGCGCAATATTGGCTCACTGCAGCCTCTGCCTCCCTGGTTCAATTGATTATCCTGCCTCAGCCTCCCAAGTAGCTGGGATTACAGGTGCCCGCCATCACGCCCAGCTAATTTTTGTATTTTTAGAAGAGATGGGTTTTCACTATATTGGCCAGGCCAGTCTGGAAATCCTGACCTCAGGTGATCCACCAGCCTCGGTCTCCCAGAGTGCTGGGATTACAGGCATGAGCCACCATGCCCGGCACAATTCTTGTATTATTCTCAGCATCAGGCCTAGACAAATACCCTCACATAATATTTCGTCAAGAATAATACAAAACCGACACATTTCCAATGATTTACTTGCTATTTTTTTTCTTTTACCACATTCTAAAAATTACAGTAAAATTGACCTCCAGCAAAGAATACTCTCTTGTTGGCTGTTTAATTTTGTTCCACTTTCCTATGAACTTACACAAATACTCTTTGCAATTATAGAGTGAATAAGCTTCATTTCATCTTTTAATAGCATCATTAACAAGTTAAATTCTCTCTACTGCTTATTTACATTCTCAGCTACTGTCACAAAATCTGGGTGATTTTATTATAGCAGTCCAAGTAGTTATACTACATATGTTTTATGCCTTAACAAAATTATCTTTCTACTAATTCTCCTGTAATATTCAAAAAATTTGTAGTATCAAAATATTTTTCCTCACACATGTGTACACATGCATGGTATTATAATCTTTGAATGGTAAAAATATGTGTATTATTATTTCATTTAGGGATAAATTTAGAAAATTGTCCTGTATATTTAATATCTATATTACTATAATATATTGGAAATTCACTAATTTCTGCCACTTTGAAATGTTGTGATCATAAATATCTAAATTGGAAATAAGAAAAAAAGGTGTCTAGCAAAATACAGATGTGCAAAATCTGATGTTTCAAAATAAGAATAACATTAAGAGTGTGGAGGTAGACTTCCTGTTTATCTCTTCCTTTTTAAAATTAATTTAAAGTTTAAAATTTTATCTTGGATTTCTTACTATCATAATGCTCTATTCTTCTTTATTCAGCAAAAATTCTAATTACCATGGTGTCTACAAGAATGTTTTTTCAGCCTATTTTATATTCATTCATTTATTATATGATTCTGCTTTTTAAATATTTTCATTACTATGAAACATAACATATATATAAATTAATAAAGCCTGAAGGTACAGTATAGAAAAAAATTATAGCATTAAGGGTCATGTTACCACATCTTGGTCATGAAGTAGAATTTACCAGCAATCCAGACACTCCCCATATACACCTTCTTGTTGATATCATTTCCCTTTTGTTTCCTCCGTCCCTACTGTGCCAGTTGTTACAATAATCACTCTTGGGTCTCACTTTAGAATTTCGACAACAATGTAATAAATTGCAGTTCATTAAAAATATAGTTTTGTAAACTTTATATAAATGTAATTATACGGAATCATGTTTCCATCTTAATATCTCTCGTATCTATGTAGTGCAAATTTGTTCATTTTCCTTTTTATTAACATTCTTTATAAACGTCTCTCTAGTTGGTTCATTTTGATTGCTGTATAGTATTCTATTGTATGAGTATGCAATAATTTATTTATCCATTTTATCACCCATGGACATTTGAGAGACTTGTCAACTTTAGCAATTAAAACTCAGTGATATGCATGTGTGTGTATATGTATTCTGATAAGAGTGCAATAGTGGGTCTTCAGATGTGATCCATCATCTTAATCAGATAATGCCATACTCAAAGTAATTGCACTGATTTACAATTCTAGGATTACAATCCTAGAGTGTAACTGTACTAGACATATTTCCTTTAACCAAACATTATGTCAAATGACTTTGGGAAAATATGATTAGTTAACAGTATACTGTAAGGCAAATTTTAGCATTGTTTAACAACTCATTAAAAGGACTCAAAGAAAATAATATGTTGAAATATCAAAATAGTCTATAAGCCTAATGAAGGTGCCCATGGGAAAATACGAATTCTACCATTACTGTTATGGAAAATAATGATGAGTAGTAAACATACCATGTCCGCATTTTTTAAGGCAGGCCTAATACCAATGGACAAGTTTCCCTTTAAGGTCCTGACCTTAATTTCTATGTGCTCCTGATTTCTGACTGTGCAATAACGTTCTTGTTCCTTTTAAATTCTCTGGCTAATGTCAAACAGGAAAGCACCGGGGAATGCTATTGAATGAGTTCAAGGCTGTCTTAATGGAAAACAGGATAATTTCCAAAACAGCTCAAATTAACTCCTATTCAAATACTATATGCTTGTTATAAGATAAAATTTTTCATACTGATGTTGATGTGAAAGCTGAATTCTCATTTGCTAGCATGCAAATCAAGTCATACACTTAATCATCATTTTGCAATTTTTTCCTTGTTTAGTGTCTCCATAATTTGCGTTCAGCAATGTGAGTTGTTAGGGAAATTTTCCAACCTAATACATAAATCATACATTGGATGCCTACACTGTTATATGTAGCTTGGTCAAAACTAGAATCATGACCACTGTTGAATCATTTTTTCAATGCCAGATTTATGGAGAGTGAATCCCAACTTTTCTACCAAAAGTGTCCAAGGTTTTCTTGGGAAGCCCAGGAAGGCCAATATTCCTTGAAAACTGGTTACTGCTAACTAATAATTTTGTACAACTTATTGTTAACAAGCTCATTAACACAAACACATTCACACACACACACATACACACCCCTCATGGTTTGGAAAAATTACTGTCCTATAACTTCTAAAATGAAAATTAATTTTCTTACTCGGGCTTTTCAGCCCATTTTCAATGTTTATCAAACTTAATCTCTAAGGCTTAGGCCTTTAACTAAGTTATTCTCTTGAGAATACTTAAATATTAGTTATTTAATTAAAATACTCAACTATTTTGGCCGGACACGGTGGCTCACGCCTGTAATCCCAGCATTTTGGGAGGCCGAGGCGGGCTGATCACGAGGTCAGGAGATCGAGACCATCCTGGCTAACACGGTGAAACCCCGTCTCTACTAAAAATACAAAACCAAAGTTAGCCGGGCATGGTGGCAGGCGCCTGTAGTCCCAGCTACTCGGGGAGGCTGAGGCCAGAGAATGGTGTGAACCCAGGAGGCGGAGCTTGCAGTGAGCCGAGATGGCGCCACTGCACTCTAGCCTGGGCGACAGAGCGAGACTCAGTCTCAAAAAAAAAAAAAAAAAAAAAAGAAAAAGAAAAAGAAAAACCTCAACAATTGTATAACTATTCCTTGGGCACTAAAAAAACATGTTTTCCATAGAAGAATTTACACTTCTCTGTGTATGAATATTCACTTTTACTTTTCTCTATTTATTTTTGATTACTTATTGATTTATGATGAATAGATGTTAAAATCAGTCTCCAATCCTGGATTTTGTTTCTTTTCAGTTTTTATAGCATAACTGTTTCTAAGAGGGGATCTTGGAGTCAGACTGCCAGGACAGGAAATCATATTCCCTGCTTGGTATAGCTATGCTCTGAGACTCCATTTTCCAACTACTCCTGCCTCAGTATAATCACCTATAAAAAGCGGGCGCAGTGGCTCATGGCTGTAATCCCAGCACTTTGGGAGGCCAAGGCAGGTGGATCACCTGAGGTCAGGAGTGCAAATCCAGCATGGCCAACATGGTGAAACCCTGTCTCCACTAAAAATATAAAAATTAGCCAGGTGGTGGTGGCACGCACCTATAATCCGAGCCACTCGGTGACTGCAGCAGGAGAATCATTTGAACCCAGAAGGCAGAGGTTACAGTTAGTCGAGATCACGCCACTGCACTCTAGCCTGAGAGACAGAGCGAGACTCCGTCTCAAAATAACAACAAAAAGGAGATGATAATAAAACTTTCATTGGTTAGTTTTGTTAGGAGTTAATATACTATTTCTGTAACTACTTTCAATTTTACCTGTTTGCTATAAGCAGGAACCAAAGATTGTTACTTATTGATTTGATCCTGTTTTTCTTGATATTTGACACCAGTGAGAACTTCCACCTTTTTTTTTGTTCTGAGACAGCATCTCCCTCTGTTACCCAAGCTGGAGTACAGTGGCACAATCATAGCCCACTGCAGCCTGGAACTCCTGGGCTCAAGCAATCCTCCTGCCTCAGCTTCTCAAGTATTTGGAACTATAGGCATGTACCACCATGCCAGGTAATTTTTAAAATTTTTTGTAGAGACGGAGTTTCCATATGATGCACAGGGAACTCCTGCTCTCAAAGGATCTTCACACCTTGGCCTCCCAAAGTACTAGGACTACAGGCATAAGCCATCACATCCAGCCCGCAGTGGGAGTTTTGAAGGTCAGATGCTACCTAGAGCTTCGGCTCATGTCCATCCCAAGGTGGATCTAATCAGTTTGTAGTTATTACCTGTTCCTGAATTGAAATGGATACGTATGGCAGCTGGCAGGACTCTCACATTCTTCGTGAACTGTAGAGTAAGGAACATTATTATAGCAGGACCAAGGGAAAGCCTCTGAAATTCTCCTCTACTGGCAACAAAATATATAAAATATAATAACCGCATTCCCTAAGGAATGGAACTGGTCACTGTCATGACAAAACACCTGAAAGTTACAGGGGATGGTAGTCTTTTCTATAACCCGATTCACTTAACCTATCTGGCCTCTACCAAAACCAGATGGGTTATCGAATGAATGCAGACTACCATAAACTTAAATCAACACTCACAAATGCTTTCCAGGATGTGCTATCTTCACCGAGCAGAGCAGAGCTTCTGGTACTTTTTGTGGGGCTAGTGATTTGGTGAATGGTTCTTAATCTACACCCATTATGAGGGAAAATCAAAACAATTTGCCTTGTAAGAATAATAGCACTGCTTCACTGTTGTATGTCAGGGCTATGTCACTTCTGTTCTCAGTTTAATTTACATTTTTTAAAACATCCTGCCAGTTTAATGTATTGATAATATTACAGACCGGGCCCTGTGGCATATGACTGTAATCCCAGCACTTTAGGAGGCCGACACAGGCAGATCACTTGAGCCCAGGAGTTTGAGACCAGCCTGGGTAACACGGTGACATCCCAGCCCTACAAAAAATACCAAAATTAGCCAGGCATGGTGTTGTGCCCCTGCAGTCCCAGCTGCCAGCAATGCCGAAGTGGGAGAATCACTTGTGCCCAGAAGGTTGAGGCTGCAATGAGCTGTGATCCTGCCACTGCATTCCAGCCTCAGGGACAGAAAGAGACCGTGTCTCAAAATAATACCAATAATAATATATTAGTTGGTACAATAATCAGGAAATGGCAAGTTTCTTCAGTATAGTAAAATATTATAACATTGAGCAGAAGTAAAATACCAGAAGAAAATAGATAAATCAGAGAAGATTCAGGGACCGACAACATAGGTGACGTTTTAAGGTTTTTGGTGTCCCTAGTCCACATGCTGAGACAATCTTTTTTACAGTAAACGGCATTTTGCTCTCTCTGTATATTTCCTATCACTACAAAAGAGACACTATGTTTTGGGGGCCTACTGGGATTTTGGAGACAACATATTCCACATTTGAGAATATTGCTCTGACTCACGAACGATGTTTCTAAAGGCTACTGGTCTCAAATGGAGCCCAGAACTAAAGAGGGCTCTACAGAAGATATAGGCTCTGGTCCAAGCTGCTCTGGCCACTGTGCCAGATGATCCAGCGGAATTCAAAGCTGCTAGAGGCATGCATAGTGGGCATTATAGGACTCTGTGCATGTCTCTGACAAGCCTGTAGGAGAGGGGAGAGCAAATCCCTATGGAATCAGTGTAAGACCAGTGTAAGACCATTCCCTCTTCAGCAGAGGGAATGCTGAAGTATACTCTGTCTGAAAAGCCAAACAGCAAGTGCAGAACATTAATCCAAGCATAGAGTCACTCTAAGCACAAGCCCCTATAAGCACAAAACCCTGTACAACTGTGCAAGTCATATGCTCATAAAGCCAGCCATGACTGGAGGGTATGAGCACGTCTCAGTGGCACAAGGAGTGGTGGTATTGGACACAAACATGTGCTTTCTCAGATTCCCTTCACTATCTCCTGTTCCCCTGGTCAGCACCTTGCCTGATCCAGATCATCCTTCCATTTGGGACTTGAATGCATCACCACACTGTGGGCATGAGGTCTGACTTTCATGACCACCACCAAGGGACTGGATGATGTAAGACAGAACAACAGAGATGGTAGTTCTAACTCAGGGAAACCCTGGCCAAGGGGAAACAGAAGACTAACAACAGCTGAGCAGATACATTCTCCCTCCTCTCTCTCTCTTCCATGGACTAATGCCAGCTGTCGTTTCCCTTTGTAGCCCTTCTGGAAAAGTTCTGGGAGTCAAGTGCATGCATCTGATGACCACCATGCTGTCTCTCTCACCTCACTGTGAAGTGGCTGCCAGCAGAGTCATACCAGACATCACCACACATTGTTTCACATCCGTTCTTGTCTCAATTTCCACATGTCCCTGCCATTTTTGTCTTGAATTGGCCTTCCATATAAATGTCATCACTTTAATATCAGGTATTACGTTAAAAACATTTTAGTAAAGTAGCTGGTTACTAACTCAATTTTTTGAAATGAAATGCCATTTTTATATGATAATCAACTAGAAAATATCATAATACAAATATATAATTCACAATAGAAAAAAATACATACGCAAATAGACCAAAGTCTTTTATATGCTTTTTTAAAATATTGTAATAGTGGCATCTAATTTTGATGTTCTACCTTGTCTCCAATTCAGACACCTGATACAGCTGCATCAAGACTATATTATTGTGATATTTCCCCTAAAATTGTGGAATAGCCAAACTTTTCCTCTGAGGAAGGATTCTGCTTGGATAAGCCTGTAATCTTAACCTGAGACCAGAACAGGGGAACTCATGCAACTGCAGATTTTGTGATGAGTTTCCTTTTCATTGGTTTACCACATCAGCTTACCCATTTTATCCACCCATTTATTTGTTCATTAAAATATCATTTTTGACCATCTATTCCTTGTGCTGGGTTCTAGGTCCTGGGAGTCAACAGAAAGCCTGACAGACACGATCTCTTCTTTTATAGTTCTTACATTGTACTGAGGAAGATACATGATTCTAAAAAATACATGAATCAGGTGTGGGGATGATTTATCTTAAGGTCTGAACAACATTGTTAAAATTTCATAACACCAAGAATTAATACAGTCATGTAGAATTTAGCTGTAAACAAGACTGTACATTTCCTTCTTATAATAGAACTTCCTATTAATGAATATGTCAAGACAATTCCATTTAATCATTGACAACAAAATTACACTAGGACAAATCCCATAATTAATACATAGATTTCATAGATACTATTTTAACACTTAAAAAAAGTTTCACTGAATTATTTTCCATAATTTTTATACTATTTTCACATTGACAGATTTTTTTTTAGAAAACGGAAGACTGGAGTTCTCTTATCTGAAGTTTAGAAAGAATTTTAAAAATGGAAGATAAGGATATAATTAGCAATTCAGGGGCTTAGAAGTGCTTTAGAAAAAATACTAAAATAATTTACATCAGAGCTCAATTTCAAAAAAAGTTTTTCTTTAATTGAAAAGCTGGAAGAAATGACTTTTCTAACTGCATATGGAAGCTGATAATAGCAATCAAGATCATGATCATGATTTTTCATACCTCTTATAGCAGAGATTTTTTTCTAAGCTATTCACATACTTGTATTAAATCTAATATTCCTCAGTACTGTTTATGGTACACATACATGAAATTTACTCTACATATACTTGTCACTCAAATTTTATTGTGTTCATTGTTTTGTAACAATAATTCTGATTGCTTTTTACTAAACATAAAATAGGAATTCATAATGGAATAAAACCCTGAAGATACATCCTCATTAGTGATTAAGAATTGAACGACCTTATTATCAAAAAGTTATAGGTTAAAACAACAGATTGTAAGCACACTGTGGTATATTTGTGTCATTCAAATAACAATAGAAAAGAGCAATATTTTTCCTGAGATAAGCTGTTAGTTCTTAATAATTATAAATAGATATAAATTCTACAAATGAAATATAAAATACATGTATGAAATAAACATGGCTTCATAATTGAGGAATTTTTGTCATATTTTCTATAATTTGGCAGTTTTTGTGAAAAAACAATAAAAAGCCTGTTATTGTCAATGTTCTTCAGTTTTTCATACACACACACACACACACACACACATCTATATATATATACTTTTCTAGACTAACTTTAGGTAAAAGACTTTTCTAGGTATACATTTGGAAATTATTCATATACATATATTACAGAAAACCCAGTAAGAAATATAAAATGTTTCATACACCACCAGTTTGTTTTCTGCTAGAAGACACACAATGCCCCTCTTGTGAATCTATGGAGACGAAGGCTTCTGTCTTTCACCCAGTACCTCACATGCCGCAAAACTGAAAGAAAAATCTGCTTTAGCTTCTTGTTTCCCAAAATCAGGATGAATGGGTGGGTTGAAGGATAGCTGAATATAATAGCTTGGCAGAACATGAAGACAGGTTGCTTTTCCAGCCTCCCCAAATTACAAACTGATATGATCATGGACAGAAAGTAAATGGCACATAACAGAAGAAAGGAGGTCACAGTTTGCAAAGCTTTTATGTGGACCTTGGTGCTGGGATCTTGAGATCCTTTGCCATGGAGCTGCATCTTCTTGAGATGTTTACACAGAGAACAGATTAACAGCAGAAAAGATATCAGGGTCAGAGTGAGGGGTACAAAGTTTGCTAGCATGGTTAGAGTCATATTTGAATGGTACATTGCACTCCTCAATTTGATCTTCCAAGTCACGTTTCCTTCATATTCTTTTGTCCATACAGTCTCATCCATGTTTATCACAAAAAGATGACAAACCAAAAATAGCAAAGGCCCCAACAGTATCACCAGAACAACACTCTTAACTCTCCTCTTTATGCGAAGAAAAATAAGGTTGGAGAAATTGGCAATCCTGAGCAAATAAAACATGCTGAGGCTAGTAGCAAGCCAGCTGCTGAAATGGTTGGTTACTGCCCAGACATTATAAGCAGTAATTCTTACTTCTACACTATAAAAAGCTGGATTCAACTGAGTTGCATACCAATGTAGTAATAACACCCAGAGCAAACCAACTCTGGAGACCGCCAGAGCAGTGAGAATTTGGTCAACAAAGGAGATCTTTTGTCTCTTGACCCACTCAATGGAATTTACCAATGCTATGAAGCCATTAGCAAAATTTCCAATCACAAATATAACCACTATTAGAATGGAAAAAATGATGGGCAGAAAAGTTATCATGTCTGAACAGACAAAAAGAAATTTTTAAAATGCTGGTGTAATATCACTGGTTGTGATTGCTTGAATATCCTGACCTTAAATTCTATATGCACCTGATTTGTGTATGTGCTGTGACATTCTTTTTACTTTTAATTGCTGTGACCAGTGTCAAGTCAGAAATCACCATGGCATGCTAATGGATAAGTTCAATGCTCTCTTTATGGAAAACATTCTTATTTTCAAAACAATTCAAATTAACTGACTCATTCACCATCTGTTCTTGTTATAGGCTGGAATTATTCATACTGAAATTGACATGAAACCTGAATTCTCATTTGCTAGTATGCAAACAAGGACATGTTCACTTCCAGTGTTTGCAATTTTTCCTTGTGTAACCTCTCCATCATTTGTCTTTAGCGACTTCAGTTGCTTGGGAAGTTTTATAACCTGATATGTAGATCGTATAGTAAATGTCTAAAATCTTAAAGGGAGCTTGATCATAACTAAGATCATCACCAATACGGACTTTTTTAAATGCCAGATTTAAATACACAGAATCCAAACTGCTTTTATCAAAAGCATCTAAGATTTACTTGAGAACCACAGGCAGGCCAATACTCCATAAGATCTGGTTGCTGCTAATACTTTTGTGTAACTTCATTATTCACAAGCTCATAAATACACACACAAACACACACATGTGCACACCACTTATGAATGGAACGAATTATTTTCTCATAATTTCCAAAATAAAAAATCAGTTTCCAGGAGGTTGTCCAGGTGAAATTAGTCCTATTTTCCCACTCAAGGTTTTCAGCCCATGAATAATGTTTATTTATCAAACATATCTCTAATTCTTAGGCCTTTGGTAAAGTTTCTCTCAAGTCTAATATTTAAATATTTATTATTTAATTAAAATGTTCAGCAATTTTATAAGTATTCCTGAGTACCAGACCCTTTGATATATAATCTTGCAGTATCCTCCCATCACACGAAGACTGACTACCTTTCCCCTGAACTTGAAGTTCAATCATTTAACTTACTTTGATGAACAAAAAATTAATACACTTTGCATAGAAATTTGAGATGGCTTCCATACTGGGTGTTCTTCCTCTTTCCATTTACTATGAGAATATCACCTGGCTAGTACACTGTTCCCAGAAGGATAATCAGAAACTAATGAAGGCAGATTGCCCCCCACCTGATCCAGACTAAATTGGCCAAACTCTAACGACCTCCAAGATGCAGAATTTGGCCCATCTCAAGTCACCAGAGCTATCCAATGTAGTTTTGAAGGGTTTCTCTTGCAGAAAAACATAACTGATAAAAGAACTCTGCTAAACCAAGAGTGTGGGAAATGTGTACAACCTTGTTGTGTCAGGAATTCAGGAGCCAAAAGAAAAAATAGATGGGGAATGGCAAAGATTTGTTCATGTGAGGTGGATAATTAAGGCTAGAAGAAATCCTTTGGAAAAATCTGGGGTGGCAAATAAAATCATCTCAAATTTCCTCATGTTGCAACTAAATAAAGTTCTTACTTCAACTCTCTTAGAGTTGTATAAGAATGTATACCAATAGTTTATTTTTCCCCTCAGTATATAATGAGACGAGTAATAATTTCTATGAGACGTTTCTCCTAATTAAAACTTTTTATGTTAAAATTATAATGCACACTTAGAAATGAACCAAAACAAAAATGGGAAATACCGCAGTGTATCATAAACATTCAAGTAACCATTATGTGGAGCAAGACAAGGAACACTGAAAACAGCCTAGGTCCACCTCCATGCCACTTTCCAACCCCCTAAACCCTTCTTCACATCTCCTGAGATAAGCAATATCCATAATTTATATTGATTATTTCCTTAATTTTCTTCATACTTTACCAACTAGGTATGCAACCCTAAACTCCATAGCTTGGTCTGGCCTGCTTTGAACTCTGTGTAGGTGCATTCCTACATGTTCTTGTTGTTTGTGGCTTCTTGGACTCAACATTATGTTTCTGAAATTTAGTCACATAGTTGCAAGTACATGTGGTTTTTTTTCACTTCTCTATATTGTTCCGTTGCATGGAATTAATGTAATGATTCACCCATCCTTAATGTACATTTGGTCAGCTTCTTTTTTGAAGTTATGAATAATTCTACTAGAGAATTCTTTCATATATCATTTGATGCAATTCCTCTGTATATATACCTTTGGGTAAAATTACAGGGTCATTGTTCAAAATCTCCTCATAGACATAGAAAAGTTCAAAAACTACTTCAAGTAAATTTACTCCTGTCACCTTTACCTCCAGTCTATTTTTTGCCATTTGCATATGTCTTATCAATTATATAATCACCCTCAAGACATTATTATTTTATACAGTAAACATTCATTTACAATTATGCACATATTTACCACTTTCATTAATTTGTATTCCTTCTTGCATATTCAACTTAATATTTTCAATAAGTCTCTTTATTGGCCAGGCAGGGTGGCTCACACCCATAATCCCAACATTTTGTAAGGCTGGGGCAGGAGCACCCAGGAGTTCAAGACCAGCCTGTGCAATACACCGAAACTCCCTCTACAATAAATGAAAATGTTAGCCAGGCATAGTGAAGCTACTCACAAGTTCTTTAAAAAGGAGTTTTTATAAATTTTTCGTATACCTGACATGAAAATGGTCACAATTTTCTTCTTTTTGTAATACAAAGGTCACAGAAGAGATTAAAATCATGGTCTAGGCATTCTCCTGCAACTTGGAAGAAACCGGAAATTGATTTGATGTGAGTAGCTTTTTTTGGATAGTAGCTTGTCTGTTGCTGGGTCATCACCACAAACTCACCTTATAGGGAAATTCAGTGAGCAGCACTAGATCTCAAAATGTCATTACAATTAATAAAATATAGTATCTCAACCACAGCTCCACCAATCTATTCCACGATTTAAATTTTACTCTGTTTTTATAAGCAGAAATCAAGGCTTCTTCATTTATAACAATCTTTAAAAGATCAAAGAGTAAAACAGTACTTACAAGTTTATCAAACATTGAAGAACTTTTATTCCCATGGAAACAAAACTGAATCTGGTGCTTCTAAGGAATTCCACCATTTAATCCCTATCCGTGAATATAGTTTTGGTTACAGAACTATAACCTTCAAACTCCATCATCACTCACTCAAGTGTGACAGAAGATCTGAGGTCTTACCTCTGTTTGACAATCTGGTCCTAAAACTCTCTCTTTAGAAATATAAGCTTGCTCATAAAATGTGCTATTTGCTTTGTCTTTCTTACTAGGGAGGTTTAGTTCCATTAAAATCTAAATTGTTTCCATAGTGATCATAGTGAAAAGAGGATTAGTTTAAGCTCATCCATAAATAATTATTTGCTTAAGCAATGTATTGTAAAATAAACTACACTTAATTTCTAAATCTAAGTGTATTGAGCTTGACTTAAACTTTGCTGTTTACTCCTGTAACTTTCCAATAATTATGATCTTTTTAAAATTACTTATTTTCCAAATTATGTGTTTAAATATTTCAAAAATAAATCATTTAATGAGATAGATGTGGATATAGATAATGATAATGATGATGGCAGGTAAAAGGGAGAATGCTATTTGATAAATGTGATTTCAGTCTTGTTTTTTAAGTACTAGACTTCAAGGTAATGAGAGAACAATATTATTCTTCTTCATGGCCTCATGATTCTTATATTATTCTCAGCATCAGGCCTAGGCAAATACCCTCACGTGGTATTTCATCAAGAATAATGTAAAACCAATGTATTTTCAATGATTTATTTGCTTTTTTTATTTTATTACACTTTAAAAATTCATAGCAAAAGTGATCTCCAACAATTAGGATTCTATTTTGGGTTTTTTTGTGCAGTTTTCAATATGAAAATAGACAAATACTCTATGCAATATACAGCATATCAATTTTATTTCATCTTTTAATAGCATCATTAGCAAGCCAAATTCTTGTAAATGCTTTTTCACATTCTTAGCTATGGTGACTAAATCTGTTATCTTACTATAGCAGTCAAAGTAGCATTATATATGCACAAACATACTCAAAGATCATACTAAATATGTTTTACACCTTAACAAATTTGCCTATGATTTTTCTTCTCTAATGCAGAACCAAAAAATATATAGTAACAAAATATTTAACCCAAAATGCAGGTGTACACATGAATAGTATTGTGAAATTAGAATGCTAACAATATGAATATACATATTTCATTTAGAGACACATTTTGGCATAATAGGTCTATATATGTAATACCCATCTTACTATAGTTTATTGGAAATTCATGACTTTCTGACACTGAAATGTGAATTATGAATAATTAAATTGGAAATAAGAATAAAGGTGTCTAGCAATCATAAATATTCAAATTTTGATGTTTCAAATTCATATTAGCATTAAGAAGGTGGATTTACAGTTCTTGCTTATCTTCTTTTTTAATTAATTTAAGAAAACTTTTGGGCCAGGTGTGGTGGCTCATAACTGTAATCCCACCATTTTAGGAGGCTGAGGCGGTGGATTGCCTGAGCACAGGAGTTCAAGACCAGCTTGGGCAACATGGCAAAATCCCATCTCTACCAAAAATAGAAAAAATTAGCAGGGCGTGGTGGTGCACGCCTGTTGTCCTAGCTACTCTGGAGGCTGAACTGAGAGAATCACTTCAGCCCGGGTGGCAGAGGTTGCATTGAGCCGCGATTGCACTTGTGCACTCCAGCCTGGACAACAGAGCAAGACCCTGTCTCAAAATAAAAAAAGTTTTAAATTTTAACTTGTATTTCTTAGTACCATAATGCTCTATTCTCCTTTATTCAGCAAAAACTCTAATTACAATGGTATCTATGAGAATATGCTGTATCACCCTGAATTTATACGTAGAAATGTACTTATGTTTTTGCTTTTTTAACATTTTTTTATTGGGGAATATAACATACAGAGAGTAATAAAACCTAAAAACAGTAAGAAAAAATTATAACATTAACATTGATGTTACCAAACCTTGGTCAGAAAATAGAATTTGCCAGCAATCCAGATACTCCCAATATACGTCTTCTTGTTGGTATTTCCCTTTTATTTCCTCCCTCCTGATTATCCCAATTGTTATGATGATCATTCATATATTTCACTGTAGAGTTTCATCACCAATGTAACAAATTACAATGTATTAAAAATTTTTTTTCCAAACTTTATGTAAAAGATCATTCTAAATGTATTTTTCCATCTTGATAATTCCTTTCACATCTGTGAGTATTATTATCTATGTAGCTCAAATTTGTTCATTTCCTTTGTTGTATTATCCTGTTGTAAACATGTCAGTCTTCTTTGTTAATTTTGATCACTGTATAGTATTCCATTGTATAAGTATGCCATAATTTGTTTATCCATTTGGAGGACTGACAGACATTCCAAGTACTTCTCAACTTTAGCTACTGAAACTCAGTGATACGCATGTGCATGTATATGTATTCGGATAAGAGTGTAAATACTGGGTTTAGGATGTGATCCTTCATCTTAATCAGATAATGCCATACTCAGCCAAAATGATGGTACAGATTTATCATCCTAGGAGTAGAATATGAAAATTCCCATTGTTTCATATCCTTTCCAAAATAAGTAACGTAAGAGTAATATTTACAGTTTTGTATTTATAAAACATATTATTAAACAATAGTTTCCAAGTTCTTTCCTATTCTAATTTAGAATGTATTTTTACTTCAATAAATTTCATTCTATGATAGTTATTTCATATACATTTATTAATAATGCCTTATATATTATACATATTTATTTATATTTCATTATAAATTTGTCTAACCTTTTTTTCTTCAAGTTTCAAATACTCTTTTCTTATAAGCAAGTGTAATTATACTGGAGATATTTCCTTTAATCAATCATTATGCCAAAGGACTTTGAAAAAATATAATTGTTAACAGCACTGTAAGGGAAATTTCAGGATTGTTTAACAACTCCTAAAAGGACTCAAAGACAAAAATGTTGAAATATAAAAATAGACAACAAGCTTAATGTAGGTGTCCATGGGAAAAATAAATATATCATTGCTGTTATTGAAAAAATGAATGGTAGTAAATTTATCATGTCTGAATGTTTTAAAAAGTAGGCCTAATATCACTGGTCAAGATTCCCTTTAAGGTCCTGACCTTAACTTCTATGTGTAACTGATTCCTGAATGTGCAGTAATGTTCTTGTTCCTTTTAAATTCTGTGACCAACGTCAAACAGGAAATCATCTCAATATGCTAATGGATGAAATCAATGCTGTCTTTATGGAAAACATGATAATTTCCAAAACAGCTCAAATTAACTCCTATTCAAACACAACATCCTTGCTGTAAGGTAAAATTTTCCATATTGATGTTGAAGTGAAAGCTGAATTCTCATATACTAGCATGCCAAGGAAGAGTTTTTTAATTGTTCTGCAATTTTTTCCTTGTTTCACCTCTCCATAATTTGTTTTCAGCAACTTCAGTTGTTAGAGATATTTTACAACCCAATACATATATGACACATTGGTTGTATAGCCTGGTGAATGGAGCTTGAGGATAGCTAGGATCATCACCAAAGTAGATTTATTTTTTTTCAATGCCAGTAATATGTAGAGTGAATCCCAACTTTTCCTACCAAAAGCATTCAAGGTTTTCTTAGGAACCTCAAAAAGGCCAATAGTCCTTAAAACCTGGTTGCTACTAAGTAATACTTTTGTATAACTTATTGTTAACAAGCTCATTAATACAAACACACTCACACACATACACACATACTCACCCCTCATGAATAGGAGGAATTATTGTCCTATAATTTCCAAAATGGAAAATTAATTTTAGGGAGATCATCCAGGTGGAAATAGCCCTATTTTCCCATTTGGGCTTTTTGACCCATTTTCAATATTTATCAAACTTACCACTCATGCTTGGGCCTTTCACTAAGTTATTCTCTTGAGTCTAGTTAATACTTAAATATTTATTGTTTAATTAAAATGCTCAGCAATTGTGTAACTATTGGGGGTCACTTGAAAAACACGTTTTCCATTGAAGAGTCTAGACTTCTTTCTATATGAATATTTGGTTTTGTTTTCCTCTGCTTAATTTATTTTTGATTACTTAATGGTTTAAGATGAATAGATGTTAAAATCAGTCTCCAATCTTGGATTTTATTTATTTTTCATTTTTACAGTATAATTGTTTCTAAGAGAGGATTTTGGAGTCAGACTGCCAAGACAGGAAACCAGATTTTCTGCTTCATATAGGTATGCTCCAGACAGACCTCATTTTACAACTACTCTCTGCCTTGGTATAATCATCTGTAAAATACAGATGATAATAATATTCTCTTTGGATAGTCTTTCTGAGGAGTTAATATACTATTTGTATAACTGCTTTCAATTTTACCTTCTGGTACAGGCAGGAATCAAGGATTATTAATTTTTCATATGATCATGTGTTACTTGATACATAAAAGATACCAGTGAGAACTTCCTTGTTTTGGGTGGAGGGAGGGAGACAGGGTCTTGCTCTGTCACCCAGGCTGGAGTGCAGTGGCTTGATTACAGCTCACTGCAGTCTCAAACTTTTGGGCCCAAGTGGTCCTCCCACCTCACCTTCTGGAGTAGCTGGGACTACAGGCATGCACCAAAACATCCAGATAATTTTTTTTTATTTTTTTATAGAGACAAAGAGTCTCCCTATGTTGCCCAGTCTGGTCTTCAACTCATGTGCTCAAGTGGTCCCCTCATCTTGGCCTCCCAAAGTGCTTGGATACAGGCATGAACAACCACACCTGGCTGAGAACCTCCATTTTTGAGCAGAACACACAAGGTTAAGAAAGGCATGACATCCGTCTCCAACAACTAGGATAAAAGAAACAAAAGGCCAAAATTATATTTTCAATTCATCACAGAGTTGTACAAGCAACGATGACCAGCTGAACTGAAATTCAGCACAAGGAGAGTCTTTATAGGTGAAAAGTCAACTTATATATATTCAGTGCAATCCCTACCAAATCCCAGAAGACTTTTTTCACAGAAATTGGAAAACCACTCCTAAAATATATCTGGAAATGCCAAGTGACAAGATCACAAAAAGAAATTGTTAAAAAATAAGAAATTTGGAGGATTATACTTTCTGATTTCAAAGCTTACTTCAAAGCTGCCCTAATCAGGATTCTATAGAACTCACATTACAGTAGACAAAAAGAACAATGAAACACAACTGAGAGTCCAGAAACTAACACCAACATTCATGGTCAATTGCTTTCAAAAAAAGGTACTATTGCAATTCGAAAGGAATTAATCGTTTTTCTCAACAAACAATGCCAGGTAAAATTGAAGAAGACTACCTCAAGGAATTTAATAATCAATTTCCCTAAGGTCAAGGATAAAGAAAGGATTCTAAAGCAGCAAAAGAAAAGAAACAAATAATGTACAATGGAGCTCCACTACATCTGGCAGCAGACTTCTCAGTGGAAAAAGGCCAGGAGACAGTGGCATGACATATTAGAAGTGCTGAAGGAAAAAACTTTTAGCCCAGAATAGTGTTACTGGAGAAAATATTCTTCAAACATGAAAGAGAAAGACTTTTCCAAACCAACAAAAGCTGAGGGATTTCATAAACACCAGATCTGTCCTATAAGAAATGTTAAAGGGATTACTTCAATCAGAAAGAAAAGGGCATTAATGAGCAATATGTAATCACCTAAAGCTATAAAACTCACTGGTAATAGTAAGGAGACAGAAAAACACAGACTAGTATAACACTGTAAATGTGGTGTGTAAACCTCGCTAAAGTACAAAAATTAAATCATGAACTGACAAAAAAAAATAGTTCCCACAACCTTTGAAGATATAGACAGCACAATGATATATAAATAGTGACACAAAAAGTTAAAAACTGAGAAGATGGTGTTAAGGTGTAGAGTCTTCATTTGTTTAGTGTTTGTGCTTGTTTGTTTGCTTATGCAAACAGTGCTAAGTTGCTATCAGCTTGAAATAATGGGTTACAAGATAGTATTTGCAAGCCTCATAGTAATCGCAAATCAAAAAACATAATACAATGGATACACACAAAAAAATAAAAAGCAAGAAACTATATCATATCACCAGAGAAAATAACCTTCACTAAAGAAAGATAGGAAGGAAAGAAAGAAGAGCAGACCACAACATAACCAGAAAACAGATAACAAAATGGCAGAAGTAAGTCCTTACTACCAATAATAACATTGAATGTAAATGGACTAAACTCTCCAATCAAAAGGCATAGTCTAGCTAATCAGTTGCCTATAAGAAACACAATTCGCCTATACAGACATGCACAGATAGAAAATAAAGGGATGGAAAAAGACACTCCATGGCAATGGAAGCCAAAAAAAGAGGAATAGCTATACTAATATTAGACAAAATAGATTTCAAGACAAAAACTATGAAGTGACAAAGAAGGTCAACATATGGAAAGGATATAACAATTGTAAATATATATGCACTCAACACTGGAGCTCCCAGGTATATAAGTCAAATATGATTAGAGCAAATACTGTAATAGATGGAGATGACAACTTATTAGCAAGTCTACTGGCTCCAGGCTGGTACTGGGAGTTGTCTGCACAGAGTCCTGTGATGTGAACAATTTATGGGACTCTCAGCCTTGGACACCAGTGCATGTTCCAGTTGAGGTGATGGAGGGTGCAATGGACTCCACGGGGGTCCTTAGCTTTGGTGGTTTAATGCTCTATTTTTGTGCTGGTTGGCCTCCTACCAGGAGGTGGTGCTTTCCAGAAAGCATCAGCTGTAGTAGTGTGGTGAGGGACTGGCAGTGGGTGTGGCCCTAGATCTCCCAGAATTATATACCCTTTGTCTTCCACTACCAGGGTGGATAGGGAAGGACCATCAGGTGGGGGCAGGGCTAGGTATGTCTGAGCTCAGACTCTCCTGTGGGTCTTGCTGTGGCTGCTGTGGGGGATGGGGATGAGATTCCCAGGTCACTGGAGTTGGGTACCTAGGAGGATTATGGCTGCCTCTGCTGAGTCTTGCAGGTTGTCAGGAAAGTGGGGGAAAGGCAACAGTCACAGGTCTCACCCAGCAACCATGCAAACTGAAGGGCTGGTCTCACTCCCACCATGCCCCTCCCAGCCGACAGCACCGATTCTATTTCCAGGCAGAGGGCAAAATGGGCTTGAAAACTTGCCCAAGGCTATCTGCCTCCCAGCCATGAGAGAAAAGGGCTTTAGTTCTTCCCCAGCCTGTGAAGTCTGCATGCCCGATTCACATCCTCCCCCGAGTTCTGGCCAGGAGGCTTCTTGACCAGTTCAAATTGTTATAAAGTTCAGCTAGAGATTTCTTCTGCCTGGGGGGTTTTACCCCCTGCTCCTCTGGCCACCCTCCTGATGGAGTACTATGGTGCCAGGCAGGAATCGGCTGTTTGGGGACCCAGTGAGCTCCCAGGGCCTTCTGCCCTGCTTCCTCTACCCCTGCATTTCACTCAGCTCTCTAACTTAACTCAGCTCAAGGTAAAGCCAGAAACTTCTCCTGCAAACAGACCTTCAGTTCTCCAGTGGTGGTGTGTGTTCAGAAGAGGAGGGTCTCCCTTTCCTACTCCTGCAGTTGGGGAAGTCACTGTATTTGGGTGTCTCCTGGGTCCTGCAGGAGCACTCTGCTTCCTTCAGAGGATCTGTGGGTCCTCTTGGGATTACTGGTTTGTTCTTGCAGTGGATTTGTAGCTAAAATTCACAATACAAGCATCCACATGCTGGTCTGTCTAGAGCTGCAATCTAGTCCTGCCTCACATCCATCTGCCACAATCCCCTGAATCTCTGCAGTGTTTATTGTTCCATCCAAACCTACACATGTGCCTATACTTTTTTTGTTTTGTTTTTTGTTTTTGGTTTTCTTTGAAACGGAGTCTCGCCCCATTGCCCAGGTTGGAATACAGTGGCGCGATCTCGGGTCACTGCAACCTCTGCCTCTCAGGTTCAAGTGATTCTCCCTGCCTCAGCCTCCTGAGTGTCTGGGATTACAGATACATAACACCATGCATGGCTAATTTTTGTATTTTTAGTAGAGATGGGATTTCACCATGTTGGCTAGGATGGTCTGAAACTCCTGACCTCAAATAATCTATCCTCCTTGGCCTCCCAAAGTGCTAGGATTACAGGTGTGAGCCACCATACCCAGTCTACATGTTCTAAAAAATGAAATTGTTCCTCACTGATACATAATCCCTCAATATTAGAATTTCTCAAATTAAATTCCTGAAAATGTTAGAATTAAAAGGTATTTTCTAAAACAGAAAAGGATTTCACAGAAAAGGAAATTTGGGAAACTCCACATAGAGCACTTCCTTTTACATACTAACAGAGTATACAGAAAGCTTATGATTTAAAAACAAACAAAAAGGTTAAAGTCGCTTAAGCCAGCATTGCCTAAAATATTTAAAAATTAAGAACATTTTTTTGTAACAACTATGAATATTCTGCTGAACTCTGAGAAATTCTGCTCTATATCTCTTTTAATGACAAATGTGTATTCTGCTATAATGAAGCATTATAATGTTTTTAAGCATAAAAAATGTTAAGGCTTTTATCTTAATGTTAACAAACTATACATAGCTCTATAACTGTTTTTGCATATCTGTAATCATTTTATGATTATTTTTAGAAACGTTTCAGAAATATGTAGTTATACATGCATATCAAAAAGTATGTGTACATAGATACATAGATATAAAGTGTATGTATTTTTATGCTAAATTCGCTTTGACTATATCCTACTATATGCTTCTACCAGTAGTGAAAGAGATTTTTCATGTTTCTGAGCTTTTTACTATCTGGATACCTTTTTAGTATTTTTATAATATATTTTACCAACAGATGTTCCTCATTCTGTGCGTCTTTACACATTTTTTTTCTTTCAGTCTTTTTCTAGTATTCATTCTGCTTTATTCTTCTAGGTAGTTTTTTTTACTGAATCTAAAGTGTTTCCCAGGCCCTTAGCATAATAAACTACTCTAAATGAGAAAAAAAATGGCAATATTTGCCTTAACATCTTACATGTATACCTGAATTTGGCAAGAATTGATGTCATCACAACAATGAGAATGTCATCTAAGAACATGATTTTTTTATTAGGTAAAATGAGTATTTTTAATTTCATCCATATATTCCTAGTTTTAATACTCTTTCTGTATTCATTATCAAATGCCTAGATGTATAATTAGACTAGAGTCAGACAGCTAACTTAGCTGGATTAATTAACAGATCTTTCCAAGGAATTTAAAACTTATCAAACTTTTCCTTTATGTTTTGTGGTTTTTGTATCTTTCAGATAAAATCCTCACCTACCCTGAATTTATAAAATAATTTACATTTTTCTTAGCTTTAAATTTTGTTCTTAATGTTTAGATCTTAGTCCTTTTGGACTATTTTTTGTGATACAAGTTACACATTGATTTTCCTCCTTATGAAAAGTCCATTATCCAAACAATTTACTGCAAAAAACACATCTTATCTACTAATTTCTAATGATAATCTTATTGTAAGACAAATTACATGTGCACAAAAAGTAAATTACCTAAATATATTCTGCCTTACTATTCCCTTTTGTTGTCTATTGCATCCTTCTGTGCCAAAATTCTTTCAATTTTCATCATTACACTATAATAAATCTTGATACCCAGTAAAGAACTTACCTTCTTCTTTTTCCAAGTTTTCTTGCCTATCTCCGAACTGTTAATTTTCTATATGTATTTTTCAAGTCATTTTTCACAATTTCCGCAAAACTTTAATAAGACTTTGCCACAACTTGCATTGACTATATTAATCTAGAAAGAAATTATATTTTATAATACTCAGTTTATCTATGAACATGATACATCTCTTCATGTATTGTTTTTGAAACAATGTCTCACTCCAGTTGCCCAGGCTGGAGTGCAGTGGCGCGATCTCGGCTCACTGCAGCATCAGCCTCCCAAGATCAGATCCTCCCACCTCAGCTTACTGAGTAGCTGTGACTACAGGTGTGTGCCACCACACACCGCTAATTTTTGTATTTTTAGTAGAGACACGGTTTCACCAGGTTTCCCAGGCTGGTCTTGAGCCCCTGGACTCAAGGAATCCACCTGCCTGGGCCTCCCAACATGCTGGGATTACAGACATGAGCCATGACACCTGGCCAAAGAATTTTTTAAATTTACATATTGTAATTTACTGTTGGCAATAGATACACTGTTTTTTGGTAAATCGATGTTATATGAAGAACCTTGTTATCTTTTCTTATGCTAATAGTACCTGTTGATTCTTTAGGAGTGTTCATTTAAGCAGTGACATCATCACATCATTATATTGTAAATTTGTCTATCTCATTCCAGTTCCTAGATGAGTTTATATTGCTTGTCCTATTACATTAGCTAAAAGTGCTAGAACAATGTTGAGTTCTACAGATGTTAAAGAGCATTTTTGCCTTATTTAAGATATCAGTGAACTTTAAAGTAGTTTTCCAATTCTGTGAAGAAAGTCATTGTTAGCTTGATGGGGATGGCATTGAATCTATAAATTACCTTGGGCAGTATGGCCATTTTCACGATATTGATTCTTCCTACCCATGAGCATGGAATGTTCTTCCATTTGTTTGTATCCTCTTTTATTTCATTGAGCAGTGGTTTGTAGTTCTCCTTGAAGAGGTCCTTCACATCCCTTGTAAGTTGGATTCCTAGGTATTTTATTCTCTTTGAAGCAATTGTGAATGGGAGTTCACTCATGATTTGGCTCTCTGTTAGTCTGTTATTGGTGTATAAGAATGCTTGTGATTTTTGTACATTGATTTTGTATCCTGAGACTTTGCTGAAGTTGCTTATCAGCTTAAGGAGACTTTGGGCTGAGACAATGGGATTTTCTAGATATACAATCATGTCGTCTGCAAACAGGGACAATTTGACTTCCTCTTTTCCTAACTGAATACCGTTTATTTCCTTCTCCTGCCTCATTGCCCTGGTCACAACTTCCAACACTATGTTGAATAGGAGTGGTGAGAGAGGGCATCCCTGTCTTGTGCCAGTTTTCAAAGGGAATGCTTCCAGTTTTTGCCCATTCAGTATGATATTGGCTGTGGGTTTGTCATAGATAGCTCTTATTATTTTGAGATACGTCCCATCAATACCTAATTTATTGAGAGTTTTTAGCGTGAAGGTTGTTGAATTTTGTCAAAGGCCTTTTCTGCATCTATTGAGATAATCATGTGGTTTTTGTCTTTGGTTCTGTTTATATGCTGGATTACATTTATTGATTTGCATATATTGAACCAGCCTTGCATCCCATGGATGAAGCCCACTTGATCATGGTGGATAAGCTTTTTGATGTGCTGCTGGATTCGGTTTGCCAGTATTTTATTGAGGATTTTTGCATCAATGTTCATCAAGGATATTGGTCTAAAATTCTCTTTTTTGGTTGCGTCTCTGCCCAGCTTTGGTATCAGGATGATGCTGGCCTCATAAAATGAGTTAGGGAGGATTCCCTCTTTTTCTATTGATTGGAATAGTTTCAGAAGGAATGGTACCAGTTCCTCCTTGTACCTCTGGTAGAATTCGGCTGTGAATCCATCTGGTCCTGGACTCTTTTTGGTTGGTAAGCTATTGATTATTGCCACAATTTCAGCTCCTGTTATTGGTCTATTCAGAGACTCAACTTCTTCCTGGTTTAGTCTTGGGAGAGTGTATGTGTCAAGGAATTTATCCATTTCTTCTAGATTTTCTAGTTTATTTGCGTAGAGGTGTTTGTAGTACTCTCTGATGGTAGTTTGTATTTCTGTGGGATCGGTGGTGATATCCCCTTTATTATTTTTTATTGTGTCTATTTGATTCTTCTCTCTTTTTTTCTTTATTAGTCTTGCTAGCAGTCTATCAATTTTGTTGATCCTTTCAAAAAACCAGCTCCTGGATTCATTAATTTTTTGAAAGGTTCTTTGTGTCTCTATTTCCTTCAGTTCTGCTCTGATTTTAGTTATTTCTTGCCTTCTGCTAGCTTTTGAATGTGTTTGCTCTTGCTTTCGCCAAGTCAATCCTAAGCCAAAAGAACAAAGCTGGAGGCATCACGCTACCTGACTTCAAACTATACTACAAGGCTACAGTAACCAAAACAGCATGGTACTGGTACCAAAACAGAGATATAGATCAATGGAACAGAACAGAGCCGTCAGAAATAATGCTGCATATCTACAACTATCTGAACTTTGACAAACCTGAGAAAAACAAGCAATGGGGAAAGGATTCCCTATTTAATAAATGGTGCTGGGAAAACTGGCTAGCCATATGTAGAAAGCTGAAACTGGATCCCTTCCTTACACCTTATACAAAAATTAATTCAAGATGGATTAAAGACTTAAACATTAGACCTAAAACCATAAAAACCCTAGAAGAAAACCTAGGCATTACCATTCAGGACATAGGCATGGGCAAGGACTTCATGTCTAAAACACCAAAAGCAATGGCAACAAAAGACAAAATTGACAAATGGGATCTCATTAAACTAAAGAGCTTCTGCACAGCAAAAGAAACTACCATCAGAGTGAACAGGCAACCTACAGAATGGGAGAAAATTTTCGCAACCTACTCATCTGACAAAGGGCTAATATCCAGAATCTACAATGAACTCAAACAAATTTACAAGAAAAAAACAGACAACCCCATCAACAAGTGGGTGAAGGATATGAACAGACACTTCTCAAAAGAAGATATTTATGCATCCAAAAAACACAAGAAAAAATGCTCATCATCACTGGCCATCAGAGAAATGCAAATCAAAACCACAGTGAGATACCATCTCACACCAGTTAGAATGGCAATCACTAAAAAGTCAGGAAACAACAGGTGCTGGAGAGGATGTGGAGAAATAGGAACACTTTTACACTGTTGGTGGGACTGTAAACTAGTTCAACCATTGTGGAAGTCAGTGTGGCGATTCCTCAGGGATCTAGAGCTAGAAATACCATTTGACCCAGCCATCCCATTACTGGGTATAAACCCAAAGGATTATAAATCATGCTGCTATAAAGACACATGCACACGTATGTTTATTGCAGCACTATTCACAATAGCAAAGACTTGGAACCAATCCAAATGTCCAACAATGATAGACTGGATTAAGAAAATGTGGCACATATACACCATGGAATACTATGCAGCCATAAAAAATGATGAGTTCATGTCCTCTGTAGGGACATGGATGAAATTGGAAATCATCATTCTCAGTAAACTATGGCAAGGACAAAAAACCAAACACTGCATGTTCTCACTCATAGGTGGGAATTGAACAATGAGAACACATGGACACAGGAAGGGGAACATCACATTCTGGGGACTGTTGTGGGGTCGGGGGAAGGGGAAGGGATAGCATTAGGAGATATACCTAATGCTAAATGACGAGTTAATGGGTGCAGCACACCAGCATGGCTCATGTATACATATGTAACTTACCTGCACATTGTGCACATGTACCCTAAAACTTAAAGTATAATAATAATGAAAAAAGATATCAGTGAAAATATTTTTGTATTGATCCTCTATACCAGACTCCATTATATATTGCCCAGAAACACTTTCTATAGGTTTCATTGGTTTGTTTTGTTTTTTGCCAACTGTGTTCTTAAAGATGTCAGAGAGGTGGTTTCTCTTTTGAGGAGTCTCACTGAGCTGTGACAGGCCTTTGAAACTGGAGTCATATCATTCTGATACTCTGCCTCTTGCTGGGCTGGCTGGACCCTGCTTGAAGCTGCTCCAAGGAGATGAGTGCAGCCTGACTGCATTTCCCCTCAGTCATTAAGCCTGATACTACCCACCTCTCTTTTCCTGTCTTGGGATTTACCTGCAGCAGCTGAAGTGTGAGAACCTGCAAGAGTCTGTCAACATCCACACAAATGCACACGAAGTTGCAGGCTGCTGGCCAAAAACAGACTGCTGGTCATCCTTGCTTTTTTTTTTTTCAATGTGCCCTGCTTATGCCATAAGTGCTGTTGCTGCTCTCTCGGGATCTTGCTACACCAGGGGCTGGTTAGAGAGGCTAGAAAATATAGTTGAGAAATACACAGAGGGGACACCCTGAAAACTCTGACCAATGAAAGATGAGAGCCAATATATACATTCTTTTTATTTCTTCCCTTGGATAGAGACAGAAATTTCACAGACTCCTTTTAAACACATACGAAGAAATCAACTGTGATTATGAAGTGACAGCCAGCTAAATATGTCTTGTATTTTCTCTCTTCCTTTTTTTGCCTAACTCATCCTTTACTTCCATTCCTGCTTCCATGGTAATGCAGGCTCAAATAAATTACTAGGATACAAGATTACTTCAAGCCTCTTTTCTGTGGAACTCATAATATGATAAGCATTTGTTACAAGATTGCCTGTAGTTGTTTAGGGGACAAATTATATTAGGGAAAGAAAGTCTTTCTTTAGTTGGTTAAATTTTCTATTATAATTGGGTACTAAATTTATTTAAAGAGTGTGTCCACAACTATTTTATAAACATATTATTTCCCTCTTAAATCTATTAGTGAGTTGATTATCATAATATATTACCATGGGTTAAACCATCTTCACATTTCTGGAATCAGCATTTCTTTGGTATGTCATATTTTTTTTTCATGATGGTAGCCAGATCTAAAATTTTATAATATAGCAATAATACATAGGTATTATTTTTACAGTCGGGTGTTTAGATTTTTAAATAACTTAATGTTTTTCTTTATTTTTCTTTTTCCATTTTCTTTCTTCTTTTTTTAATTATTATTATACTTTAAGTTTTAGGGTACATGTGCACAACGTACAGGTTTGTTACATATGTATACATGTGCCATGTTGGTGTGCAGCACCCATTAACTCGTCATTTAGCATTAGGTATATCTCCTAATGCTATCCCTTCCCCCTCCCCCCTCCCCCCACCCCACAACAGGCCCCGGTGTGTGATGTTTATTATAAACAAAATTTTAAATATAACCTACAACTCTTTTGGAAAAGATAATTTGTGAGATAGTATAATACAAGAAAATTTCTTTCATTATTTTTGACATATGCAAGAGTATTTCTTTACAAGAAAATTTTGATAATCTATACTTTTTAGAAAATTGCACATTAGAATTTTTTATTTTTATCACAAAACTGTTTTAATATTTTTATAGAAGAAAATTTCTCTTCTCTCAAGATCAATTTATTTTTGTTTTATCACTTATCTGTACTATATTTTAGTTTTAACTATTCTCCACTTTTATGTTTATTGACATCTATGGTTAAGAAAGTTCAGCTTGGGAGATGACAGTAGATTGGATTTTTAGCCCCAATTATTTATTCCCTTTAATAGTATTACTCACAGCCTTTGCATGTAACTTTGCTGTGCTCTCCCACTGTGGGCAAAGTATAATTTCCATGCCCATTAATGTTGTACTTGTCTGTGAATTGCTTTAGAATATTAGCACAATGTATATGAGCAGAGATCTTAAAAATGCATTATCAGTTTGTCTGGGCCTTCTTGTATTTTGATGATCACCATGAGAATAGCCACAGCTACACTTCAAGTACAGCTGCCCCTTCTGCCTGAGACTCAGAATGAGACTGTTGATCATGACAGAATCAAATTCCAAGTCTAGGTAGGAGTTGTCTGGTATTAGTTGTCTCATATAATTAGATTTAAGGGTATTCATGACCCTGTTTCCAACGGTAAAGGAGACACTGGCAATCCCTGGCATGCGGTGACACAACAGTTATTTAAATTATTGTCCATAGATGATCACTTACAAAATAACTTATAATCAAGTTCCTATAGAAGGCAAGACATTGAGTGAGGCTGCCATAGAACATTTTAGTGAACATAAGTAGAATAGGGTTCGTTGCTGACTTATAAGTGTGCTAGAAAACTTGGAGAAAGAAAAATTATGAACTTAAGGCTCTGAATTACTAGCTTCGGATTATGTAAACTAACATAACATTCCTACGACTGTCTTCAAAAAAGTCCTTATCTCCTATAGCAGAAGTACTAAAATTTCTGAAAAGCAAACTCAAATCAATTTCTGCAATAAATAAATCATCTTGAAAATTGTATTTACAACTTCACAACTTCCTGTGTTAAAGTCAGGAAATTTGCTAAAAAAGAAATAGGAACTTAAAAACTGGGGTGGGCCTGTAATGGCAGATCCCAAAGAATCTGGAGGATCTTGAACCCCTAAATTCTGCTGGTGCACCGTTGCCAGGAGATGCACTCTTCCTCCCCTCGCTGAGAAGGTTAGTCTTCCTTCCCTTGCCTTAAAAACCTGTAATGAGTTACCTTGAGCTGTTTGGCTTACAGAGGAATGCTGATACCCCTCTATATATATCCCTGCCTCCTCTTATGTTTAAATATATGATAACACTCAATTCCCAGCAGGCCCCAAATGACAAGATACAAAATGTGACACAGGACAAAGTAAAATTCAGACCAAAAGACTTGTAAGATTTTGTGAATTTTATACCAACACACACCTGAGATATATGAGTAGAAATGGATCTTATGAATGGGTAGATATAACAATATAATACATATAATGTGAATTATGATAAATATTATGAGCTCACTAACAGATATTACCCCCAAAAAAATGGCAAACAAGAGAGCGAAACAAGTGGTTTGTGTCCAGAGCAAAATAGTGGAATGTTTTTTCTACTTTAATATTGAAATAAAGAAGTAATATTTAAAAATAGTATAAAATATTTTTGAGTTTTGAAAAATAGTATATAGTATTCAACATACTCAATACTGGAGACAAATTTGTTAGAATAAAGTCACTCAAATAAATCTTATGATACATCAGCCAACTTTGGCAGTTTATGGATACAATCAAACAATTCCAAAATGTTTTTTATCAATAATTCTTTTAATTCTCCCATCAGTAGCATATACTCCAATTCAACTGAAATACATTAAAAGAGAATCAAGTATTGTAAGAAGCCAAGAGAAAGTTTTCATCTGCTCTGAGGGTTCATTGAAAATAAACTGACAATAGATAAATAAGAGAAAACACAAGTTTTTATTAATGTGCATATATAAATGACAGCCATATACCAAGTATGAGACCCAAAGCAGGGGCCAGACAATTGACTCTTAAGTATACTCTTAATTGGGGAGAGGAAAGCAAGGGATGTAAGAATAAATGATTTCCAGAGGAAATGCATAATCTAAAGAGCAATGGCCTAGGACAAATTTCCTCTGAGCTCTACGGGAGGTGGAGGGAAGGTTAGGGCCAGAACTTCACTGTGAACAAAGGTTGTCTTATTATGCAGATAAAGTCACCCAGGGAATCTCTTGGAGCTGCCTTCAAAAGAACAACTGAAAAGTCTGTCTAGGCATGTTGACAACTCCAAGTATCTTATCCAGTGGTTATCTGATCCAGTATCTTATCCTGGTCATTTGATGAGATTCCTAGACAAGGAGTCTTTTAAAAATTGCATTTCTTCTGGAAAGAAATTTTCTTAATCAGATAAGGAAATTCCAGAGAGAATTCCCTCTGGTGCTTCAGGAAAGAGGATCAGAGACACAGACAGAAGGGAAAACTTCAGACAGAGAATTTGAGGCTTCCTGTTTAGTCCAGCATGTCAAAGAGCGATATATTTTCAGTATCATTTTCTGAGCCCCAATAGTATACAGTTGTAGTTAGTTTCATGGTGCCATATTTCTTGCAGTGTGTCACATCTTCCGCTTAATTGTAGAGTTTTAATAGAAAAATCCTTCATACATGTGGGCACAAATTTTATATTAACATAAAAACATTTTCGTTCCTATCAAACAGTTCTGCCAATCCCAGGCAGTAACACTCGATCTGTAATTTTGATTGAAGGGCTGGATTCAACTTTGATTACATGCAAATAGGAGAAAAAGTAACTTGCACTGATTTGCAATTTTCATTCTGCCCTAAAGCTTGGGTCACTTGGATCCAAATGCCAACTTTCCTAAATCTCTGCTCAAAAAAGAGAGGTGGAAAACTTTCCAGTATAATTCATGGGGGTGCTTAGGTGTAGCTTTTCTCACTTGAAAACCAGAGAACCAGAGAAGGTACAGAAACCTGGAAAAATGATTATAAGTCTTTTCTAGAACATTAGAAACCAATTAGGTCAGTTGTTAAAAATCAAAACTAGAATTTTATGTGACATATAGAAAGAAAATTTCCTGACTTTAACACAGGAAGTTGTGAAGTTGTAAATACAATTTTCAAGATGATTCGTTTATTGCAGAAATTGATTTGAGTTTGCCTCATTTTTGAACTCTTTATAAATACAACCTTAATATATTTTCTTCTTGTTTATGACTTCTTTTTTTAAGCATTATGTTGATAAAATGTATCCACTTTGTTGCATGTACATGTGGTTCATTGCTTTCAATTTCTCTATATTGTTCCATTATATGAATTTGCTATAATTATTAATCCTTCCTTAATTTATAGGTATTTGAGCTGTTTCTTTTTAGAACAATTACAAATAATACTACCATGGGCATTATTTTACATGTCATTTAATGCACTTCTCTTGGATATATAGCTAGAGTATATGCATTGAATTTGATACTCAGACTCTCTTCACAGACAATGAAAAGGTTAAATAATAATTAAACTAAATTTAATCTTTTCACCTTCACCCCAGTCTATATGTTATTGGCATACATTTTATTCATTACCTCTTTTAACACAAGATATTATTGTTCTATACAGTCAATAGTCCTTTTAGTTACGCACATTTGCCATTGCCTTTATTTTCATTCCTTCTTGCATCTTCAACTTTGTATTTTCAGTAACTTTTTTCTATCTGAAAATGTATCCTTTTGAATTTCTGTTTATGAAATGTCTGCTACTCCTTTGAAACACACTGAAAATATATTACATTGAATTCTAGCTTCCATGCTTTCTGCTGAAAATCACTTGTCATTCAAACAGTTGATCCTTTCAACATAATCTATCTTTTTTCTCAGGCTACTTTTCAAATTTTCTATTGGTCTTTGGTTTCCTGTAGCATTTATATGTTAATTTGTTTTCAGTTATCTTGTCTGAGGTTTGTTGGTTTCTCGAATGTATGGATTGATACATTTTATTATTTTTGGAAAGGTCTCAGCAACATTACTTCTTCCCTACATTCTCTCTTCTAATCTTCCAGAACTCCAAAAGTATGTTAAGCCTTTCTGACTGTAGCCTCAATGCTCTTCCCCTTTAGCCTGTATTTTTCCATCTCTTTGTCTAATTATGCTTCACTCTGTGTAGTTATCTTCCAATTCACTAATTCTTTATTCTACCATTTCTAACTGATTGTTAAATCTAATTGATTGTTAAATATTGAATTCTTAATATTAATTTTTTCAGTCATTATTTTGGTGGTAGAAAGAAACTTTCACTCTATTTCTGTAAGTTATTTCTATGGATAAATAAAATACTCATAATACCAAATTCTTAAAGATTTTTTAAAAACTTTTAGTAAACTTGACAAGAAAATACCAATAATTCTCTTCTTTTACCCACACTTTGGTCAAAGAAAACACCAATTTTTTTTTTTTTTTTTAGACGCAGGCTTGCTCTGTCACCCAGGCTGGAGTGCAGTGGCGCGATCTTGGCTCACTGCAAGCTCTGCCTCCCGGGTTCACACCAGTCTCCTGCCTCAGCCTCCCGAGTAGCTGGGTCTATAGGCACCTGCCACCATGCCCGGCTAATTTTTTTGTATTTTTAGTAGAGATGGGGTTTCACCATGTTAGCCAGGATGGTCTCGATCTCCTGACCTCGTGATCTGCCTGCCGCAGCCTCCCAAAGTGCTGGGATTACCCACACTTTGGTCAAGAATAGAATAAAAGCGTGAGTCTAATCATTCTTAACCAAGTTGAAAAGAACTAAAAATAAATTTGATGCAAGTAGCAGCTTCTCTGTTGCTGCATCTTCACCACAGACTCTTATTACATGAAAATTCAAGGAGCAGAACTTGATCTCAAAATGCCATTACCATAAATAAAAGATAATACATCAATCACAGCAACACCATCTTATAACATGGCTTAATATTTAAGTAGTCCTTTTACTCTCCTTACACTGTTAGACATGGGGCTTTGTGTCTTACAAGTCCATCATCAAGAGAGTATGATATTGAAGATGTGAGGGCTTATTTCTGTTTGGTTCATTGACTTTTAAAGCCTCTCTTTTGAAATAAGAGTTTAATTATAAAATGGTTTATTGACTTTATCTCTCTTATTATACAAATGCTATTTACACTAAAAACTAAATATTTCTGGTAGTTAGCCTCTGATGAGTTTAAGATTATTTATAAATCATTTGTTCAAGCAATGCATTTTAAGTAAAAATACACTCAACTTCTAACTCTAAATGTATTAAGTTTCACATAAGCTTTGCTCTTTAATAATGCAACTTACCCACAATAATAATCTTTAGGAAATTACCTAGACATTCTCCAAATCGTGCATGTAAACATTTAAAAAACAAATAGTTAAATGAAATATATGATGATGATAGTGGTGGTGGTGGTGATGATGATATTAATAGCTAAATGAGAGAACCCTACCTGATAAATGTGATAGATGTGACCTCACTCTAATTTCCTGAATGGAAGAGTTCATTTTGTCTGGAGAAAACAACAATTCTTCCCTATGGCCTTATCATTCTTACACCATTCTCTGCATCAGGGCTTAACCTGGAAGAATATTTTCACCTACTACTTCATGAAGACTAATATAAAACCAACATACTTCCCATGATTTACCAGCTATTTTTTCCCTTTATTCCATTTTTAAAATTATGGTAAAAGTTACCTCAAACAACAGTGCTGGGTTTTTTTTCTTTCATATGGACATATCCATTTCCTCTATTAAAATAATACATGATCTTCATTTCATATTTTAGTAACATCATTTGCAAGCAAAATTCTCTTAACTGCTTCATTACATTCCCAGCTACTGTGATTACATCTGGGTTATTTTATTACAGTAGTCAAAGTAGCACTACACATCCACAAACATATCCAAGCATTACACTGATATATATTATGCTTTAACAAACTTACTTAATTATACTTAACATTTTATAATTTTTTCCCTACTGTATTTATAATTTTTTGTTCAAAAAATTACATTACACTTTTTTCTGTGATTTTATATATATTTATTCATATTGCCTTGTATATCATATGTGCATTTATTTATATTCCATTATAAATGTTTATCTTTTTCTCCAAGTCTCACATACTCTATTGTTACTAGCAGGCATTATTATAGTAGAGACATTTCCTTGAATCAGACATTATGTCCGGCAACTTTGAGAAAATATGGTTAGTGAATATTTTAAGGAAAATTTCAGAATTATTTAACAACACTTAAAAGGACTCCAAAAAAGAAATTGTTAAATATAAAATTAACTTATGAGGTCTTCTATTATTTCTTTCATAGATGCAGAAAGTTAAATTTTGTCTATGAAGTTAAAGGTTTTGCTTTTTTCAGAGAGAATTTAAGATGCCACAGTAGTCTCAAGGAGCTCTGTCTTAGCTTGTTGTTTCCCAAAATTATAATAAATGAGTGGCCTGAGGGAAAGGCAAGTAAAATCATCATAATAAACATCATGACCTGATAATTCTCTACCTCAAGGAAGATCCAATCTCCTATTAAAGTGGAAATAAAGTTAATAATAAAAAGGAGGAGGAAGGCTATCACCATTTTCATGGCCCTTTTATGGGCCTCTGTGCTGGAGTCCCTTGAGCCCAGAGAGTTGAGCTGCAAATTCTTGGTGTGTCTCACTAAGGATATAAATAAAAGGAGCAAAGAGGTCAGAGTCAGAAGAAAGGGAATAACGTATGTCAAGCTGAGAAGCCTAAGGCCTTGAAGATAGACTATTTTACTTGTATCTGAGTGCAAAGTCATGTTTTTTTCACAACTCACTAATGGCATTGGACATAAAAAGGTAAACAAACGATAAGAACAAAGACCGCAGGAAAAGCACAAGAACCACTCTGTTCATTCTCCACTTCAGCCAGGCAAAAAAATAAGTGGGAGAAATTGGCTATCTTAAGCAAGTAGAAAATGCTTAGGCAGGTGGCAAACTAGATACTTAACTGATTAATTAATGCCCAAAGAATAGTAAACAGTTTTACTAGTTTACGGATGGTATATAGATGAGGGGACAATACCATTATAAATGAATCAAATAGTATTAAATACAGTCGAATGATTCTGACTATAGCCAAGCTGGTGAGGATGAAATCAGCTGATGAGACCTTCCAACTCTTGGCCCACTCAATGCAGTTTACCAGTCCAATGAGCCCGTTTCCCAGCATTCCTAAGACAAGTCCTCTTGTTGCCACCACCAGAAAGAAAATATTAATTCCAACGAACATTTCTATGAAAATATTTCCGATATTCTACTTCACTGACAGCTTTATAGTCAAACAGTTGCAGATGGGCATGCATTTATGATGCTTTCTATCTATGTTTTCATCACAATTTCAGAAGGCATAGCCAAATTCAGATATATGTTCAGAGATCTTCATGAAAAAAATAGTTTGTTCTATTTATATTGTAACTCCGGTACTAAACCAAATTGTTAAGAGATACAAAGCTTCATGAATACCTTTCTTACCACTTTCAGTCAGCTACTATATAATTTCTAGAACAAACACTAATGATGTCTATTTATCTTCAGCATCAGCCACAATTTTCCATTCATGGTAATGACTAAAGAAGCGAAGTCGAGTATGTAAACATGCAAAAATGAGAGATCATTTTTCACTAATTTGCATTTTCATCTCCCCTGAGCCATACCACTTGAATACAAATATCTTAAATTTTGAATAGAAATTGTTAGAAATAACATTTATTTCAGTAATTATTTGTCTCTCATTCAGTAACATCCTTCTACATACCAAGCATTTTTGTTGATGCAATATGATTTATAGAAATAAGTTCCTAAAATTATTCATAGTTCAAGAATTTCACCCAAGTCCTAAAACTATTAATATAAATAATTTGTATGCAATGTTACAGGAGCTAAACAGAATAAACAAAATATACCAGAATTAAAGACGAGGAAGATACAAATGCTTCAGTGAAGAATTGACTATAGTTCTCTGAGGTTAGGGACATTCAGTTTGAACTGGAATTTTTGTTTGTTTGTTTGTTTGTTTGTTTGAGACAGAGTGAGACTCCATCACACAGGCTGTACTGCAGTGGCACAATCTCAGCTCACTGCAACCTCCGCCTCCCAGGTTCAAGCGATCCTTCTGCCTCAGCCTCCCGAGTAGCTGGGACTATAGGCGAGCACCACCACGCCCAGCTGATTTTTGTATTTTCAGTAGAGACGGGGTTTCACCATATTGGCCAGGCAGGCTGGTCTCAAACTCCTGACCTCGTGATCCTCCTGCCTCAGCCTCCAAAAGTGCTGGGATTACAGGTGTGAGCCACCACGCCTGGCCCTGGAATTCTTTAGAATTTATGAAAAAGAAGAAAAGAACTAATATTCAAGACAGGTTTAAGGGCACTTTCAAACTACAAAAGTGACATAAACAAGCTATACCATGCATCTATAGGCAGGAACTTTTTTGTTTCACATTTGTATGGCTATTTTAAGCAAAATGCACTCTCCAACTTCCATGTCCTAAATTTCATGTTCTACTCTTTTTTCTAAGCATATAGACTATATTTCCAAGCCTCTCTTACAGATGCAATGTGACTAAAAGCTGAACAATGTAATGTGAGTGGAAATTATGTGCACTATTTCCAGGCCCGTCCCATAAAAATTTGCCATGCATCCTCCTCCATGCACCTTTTCTGCTCCTGGCTGCCTGGAATAAGGTGACCCCAAGGCAATCTTGGAAGCTGTGTTAAAGGTCACCAAGTGATCAGCCTATTTTAGTGAATAACTACATAGGGAAGGTTACTCAGACATATCAGTACCATTAAAAGAACAAAATTAAATCATATTGTTCGAAACGTTTTACATTTTGGAGCTATTTGTGATGCAGTTTGTCTACCCAGTCTAACACAGAAATTGGAACTGAAAGTGGGAGAATTTGTTTAGAGGATTTGGATAGTGAAGGAACAGATCTTGGAGACTGGCAACACGATGGCACATGTGGTGTATAAGCAAACTTTTTAAAAACATTATATGCAATAACTTAGAAGAAGGCCATGTTTAATGAGTCTCTGGCCCTAGGGGAAGTGGTTGATGAAAGTCAAAACGGTGTGCCAGGGTTGTTCTCCAAAATATTTTAGCAAGATATTATGAGAAGATGAGAAAGGAAAAGAATTGACTGGTTTGCAAATAAGAATTAAGAGCAAGAGAGAGTTCAGAAATCTAAGGTTTCAGAGGGGTATAAAATCTCACAGGTTTGGGGTATCAAACAGCAATAAGTGAGACTGAAAAAAAAATTAAGAGGCCCATTAAGACTTTTCAATTAAACATAGAGACCATTGTTTCGAATGCCTTCAAGATAACTGCCACCAAAGTGAAAGAAAGAGGCCTGGGATAAGTAAGGGAAAAATGTTTATCTATTTTCTTATTTATACAGACATGAAACATTTGTGTAAGGACAACCATTTTGGAAATTTTTGTAGGGTAAGATGGAACTGACCAGAAGCAAGTAGATTAAAAACTTTATATGTTGCTGAGGATATTGCATTTGTCAAATAAATTATGAGTGATTTAATTAAATATGTGATATTAAAATGACTCTCTGGCTTCCAAACTTGCATTATTGAAAAGACTTGAAATACGTACCTTCTCCAGGAAGGTACCCTTCTCATCATCCTTTTCAGATGCAGCCAAGGAGGATAATAATGAAGAACATCCAGAGGGTAAAGCCAGGATCCTCAGAAAATGATGGATAAGGGAGTTTCTCCCAGAGTCCAGACACAGGGACTAATCAGGAACTTCCCTGTAAATCCAGGGCAGGCGACTCCACATAGCCTATCAAGGAAGGTTTGTCACTGCTATGGCCAATCTACCATTGTATTCCTCCTGTTTTCTTTCTAAATGGGAGGAGTTTATTGTTGCCAGTCAGCCTGCCCCTAATCATCCACTTTATACTTTGAAGTGAAGATATATATATCTTGTGTTTTTTGTTTTCATTTATTCCCAGACCACGAGGGACTACATTTGGAAGTGGTAAACAGAACTGTCTATCACTCAGAAGCCCTGAACTTTAAGCTGATATAACATAAGACTTTAATGCATCCCCAGGAAAGGAGCATAAGTGTGTTCTATATGTGGGAAGAAGGGTACATATGGTGATTTAAAAATAGGCATGAAGTCTGTGGCAGGTACTGTGTTGCTGACCAAAATCCTTGTTCTCCTCTTCCTGAGCACACATGAGACTACATTTCCCAGGATCCCATGCAGTTGGGTGTGACCCAGTGTCTGAGTTCTTGCCACTGGAGCTTGAGAAGTGATGTGTGAAAACTCTATGTCCCCAACAAATACAGCCTCACCCCAAACACACACATAAATACACATGCACACTTGTAATGAAGAATACCCCCTGGGCAACCATGGAAAAATGTGTTAATATTTGCGAAGACTTCTTTAGCCTGAGTCAATCAATAATTGCAGAGAGAAGGGATACATGGAACACTATTCAGCTGTAAAAAGAAATGAGAAAGATTGCTATATAGTACTATGAAGTGATACCTAATTATTAAATTATTTTAAAAGGAAAAATGCAGAACAATGTGTGTAGTATGTTCTATATTGTTTAAGAATGGTATTGTCAAAAGCTGACTTTAAAAAATGGTTACGTATAGTGTTCACTTCAGCAGCACATATACTAAAGTTGGAACAATTACAGAGAATATTAGCATGGCCCCTTCCATATCTTAAATTTTTAAAAGCAATTAAAAAAGGAAAAAAAATTGGTTACCTATAGGAAAGGAAACACAGAGCATATGACAGGAAAGAAGCTAGGCTTCTCTGAATACATTTTGTTTTGAAGTTTTACCCCTGGTACCATGAACATTTATTAAATAATCACTAAAAATTAAAATAAAGGAATATTAATCCTGAAAAATAAAAATAAAAACAAATGAACCTGTCTGATGGATGATTTAACTAAAAGAGGAATTGTTTCAAATGATCCTACAACATAGTTTTTTTATCTCCAGAAGGATATATGCTAAGATAAATCTGAAAGTGTTTTAATAATTAAGCTGTTAGAATAATCTAATCTGAGTACTGTTAGTTTGAAACTATTATATGCGCTGATGCACACAATTAATTATGTGAATGTTGTGTGGTTACGGACCAAGATTTTCAGCATGAGAAAAAAAGAAGTAAGAATATAAAATCTGAATTGGAAATATCAACATGAACTTATTTTTAAAATCTATTCTGGTAGTTTAAGCACAAAAGACATTTATTAAAGTGTATCAGAGAATCATTACAAAGTCTGCAGAAGCAGATTCAAAGCTAAGCATCTAGATACAATGTGTGTATCAGATTTTTTACTCTACCATATACCATCCCCAAGTTTCTAAGCTCTCACCTTTGCCACAGGGACATAAAAAAGAAGCTGGAATAACATTTCCCAGACCCCATGGTCAATTAAATTCCCCCTTAAAAAAAGACACTTTGAGGTAAAGCTATTATTTCTTGGGCAGCAATCTAGACTGGCACTTAGGTATCTACAGACTACAAGCATAAGGGTTGGATAGCTACAAATATACTCCTAGGAATCACCCACTTTGAGGCCAGAGGCACCTGATATCATCAGTAGCTGTGATGGTTAATTTTACATATCAACTTGACTGGGTTAAAGAATACCCGTATAACTGGTAAAACATTATTTCTGGGTGCCTCTGTAAAGGTGTTTCTAGAAGAGATGAGCATTGGAATCTGTAGACCGAGTAAAGATCTGCCCTCACCAATGTAGGTAGGCATCAACCAATCTGATGAGGGCCCTAATAGAACAAAAAGCTGGAGGAAGGGCAAATATACTCTCTTCTTGAGTGGAGACATCCATCTCCTCCTGCCCTTGGACATCAGAGCCCCTGATTCTCAGGCCTTTGGCCTCAAGACTACACCACTGGTTGTATCATGGGACTTCTCAGCCTCCATAATCAATTGAGCCAATCCCTATAATGAATCCCTTTTTACACATGTTTATTATGAAAATTGGCTCATAATTATGATTCTGTTGGATCTGTTTATTTGGAGATCCCTGACTAATACAGTAGCCTGCATAGAGGATGCAAGTAGCTGACACAAATGTTATTGCCTTCATGTACAACCCCTACAATTCTGGATTCCTGAAAGTAACCCTCCAGAATTAGTCTCACTTCCCCCAAAGCCTTCTAATGTTTGTATAGTGTCTAACTCCCTGATTAAACTTCTTCTAACTCAGAACATCTAAAATGTCTTGTTTTCTACCTAATGTGGTCTGAGGCTTCTCAAAAAAAAAATGCTTCTTTTTGTAAATCAGCTTTACTGAAATATAATTTTTATAAATTATATGAAAAACCATTTTAATTATACAGTTTACTTTTGGCAAATTATACAGATTAACTACCACAATCAAGATATAGAACATTTCCATCACCCCCAAAAACATCCTTGACATTCCTAGACCCCTTTGCAGTGCATTCTACCTCAGGCCTTTGGCTATCACTGATCTGTTTTCTGTCACTATATTTTTCTCTTTGTAGAAGAGAAAATGGTATCATGTTTGAACCTTTCTTTCACTTGGTAGAATGTTTAGAGTCATCTGTTGTTGCATGTAAAAGTGATTTATTCTTTTTTGTTGCTGAGTAGTATTCAATTTTACGGGTATGTTCTCATTTCTCTTAAGAATTGCTGGGTTTCATGGTATTTTTTACTTCATAAGAAACTATCAAACTCAACCAAAGAGGCTTTGCCACTTTGCATCTCCACCAGTAATGTATGAGGATTCTAGTTGCCCCCTATCCTCACAAATTAGTATTGCCAGTCTTCCCAATTTTTTCCTCCATCTCTTCTCTCCTTTTCTCCCTCTTTCATTTTTCTGTTTGAATAATATATAGTAATCTGCCTTCAATATTACTGATTCTGCCTCTGCCATCTCCAGTCTGTTGATAAATTGCCAAAGGAATCTTTCACCTCCAATACTGCTTTTCATTTCTAGCATTTTCATTTGAGCTTCTTATATAGTTTCTATCTCTCTGCTAAAATTTCCTGAGCATGTTATTTATCTTTTCCACTAGAATTTTAACACATTAATCATAATTATTTTTAAAGGTTCTGTCTGATAATTTCAACCTCTGGGCCATTATTTTCTCTTAACAATGCCTGGGTTTTTGTATGTGTGTATACATATTTACAGTAAATCCTGAGATAAATCCTGAGATAAATATTACCCCTCAAAAATGGGCTGCCTTCTTATTCTGTCAGACTACTAAGTGTGTGAAATTGTATCAATCCAATCTGTAGTTTATCTGTATTTAGATTCAAATGGCTCCAGTGGTGGAATGCCAGTAACTTGTGTTTTGGGGAAGACTGGAGTGCCAAAGGGATTCTCAGTGTTTGTGCTCAGCTTCAAGAGTCCACACATGCACTATAGAGAAGGCTCTTTCTATACTTGTGTCCCTCTCCCAGTATAGTGGCATTGCTTGTTAATCAGAGAAAAGTTCATGGTGGGGCAATGGGAGCTCTTTGTTCTTCTCTAGCAACTGCCCCTGTCTACGCACCTTTGCCTCAGACGTGGGACTTTTTTAATGCTCCTACCACTCCCACAACAAGAAAAACTGCCTAAAATCAGTGAAGGATCCTGGCTGAAAGCCGGTTTTCTCCCCCTCCTCCAGTAGCAACAGATGGCTTTCACCCAGTGTCAGCATGGGAGTCCAAGTCAGGCAATCTTCCTGCCCCTCCTTGAGTGTCAGTCAATCAATGTCTTGTATCAGTGGAGGGTCTTGATATCATCAGGTTAACTGCCCCCTTCCTGCAGCAAATGGGTTTTTCCTGGTGTTCATGCAGAGTCCAGGATTGGTGGGTTTTCTGCCTTCCTTCACTGGCAGATCCTTTCTGTTTAGCCAGCATGCAGCCCAGAGCAAGTGAGTTTCCTGGACTTCCCCTGTGACAACAGACTTCTAATATGTATTAATACAGACCTAGGAGTGCAGGCAGGTTTCTTACCCCACTCCTTGTGCCAATCAGCTATTGCCCAATATCAGAGTAGGGTCCAGGTTACAGTGTATTCCCTGCCCCTCACTCAGCAGCAGGCAGATTTTGCATAATAAAGATCCAGAACATGTGTAGTTTTCTTGCCTGTCCCCTAGCACTGGCCAACAACCACCTTTTACTCATGCAGGGTCCAGTGTAAATGGGCTTCTCCAGTTTCTATTACTCCACTTTAAAACTTAAGAAGATTTTGTTCCCATTTGTTTTAGATTTGCACTGCTGCTAAAACAAATTATCATAAATTTAGTGGCTTAAATACTACAAAATTATCTTAACAGTTCTACAGATCAGAAGTCTGGTATTTGTCTTACTAAGCTAAAATCAAGGTGTCAGCAAGGCTGCATTGCTTTCTGGAGGCTCTAGGAAGGAATCCATTTCCTTGCCATTCCCAGCTTCTAGAAACTACCTGCAGACCTTGGTTTGGGGACTCCTTCATCTTCAAAGTCAGAAGTGTTGCATCTCTCTAACCCTAGTTAAGAAATAATCTGTTTTTAAGGGCTCATATGATTAGACTGAACCCACCTAAATAATATGGGATAATCTCCCATCTCAAGGTGCATACCAATAATCACATTTGCAAAATCTCCATGCCATATAATGTAACATATTAACTAGTTCCAAAGATTAAGTCATAGACATCTTTGGGAAAGCCATTATTCTGCCTCCTATACCGTGTACCATAAAGGAACTTTCCTAGGTTTCCTGTCTGTCCTCAACCTTTCCAGTAAGCATTCGGTAGAAGCCCAAGGGGAAAAGCTGGCAATTACAGACCACTCCTGTGTCTGGGGCTCCCAGGTATTCTAAACTGTCACATTAAACTACACTCAACCTTTGTAAGAATTTGTTAAAATTTCAGCCATTTTCTTGTTACCTACTGAAACGCCAGAGAACTCTTCTGGAGTTCTGCCACAGATGAAATAAATTCATGTCTCCTATTTGGAAAGGCTTGTAATTTTTTTTTTTTTTTTTGATATGGAGTCTCGCTCTGTCACCCAGGCTGGAGTGCAGTGGCCCCATCTCGGCTCACTGCAAGCTCCGCCTCCTGGGTTCACACCATTCTCCTGCCTCAGCCTCCCGAGTAGGTGGGACTACAGGCGCCTGCCACCACACCCAGCTAATTTTTTGTATTTTTAGTAGAGAGACGGGGTTTCACCATGTTAGCCAGGATGGCCCAGATCTCCTGACCTCGGGATCCACCCACCTCGGCCTCCCAAAGTGCTAAAATTCAGTTTACCTGCTCACCTTGTAACTTCAGTTCTAACAAGCTCAAAATAAATTATGACTTTGTAGCCTACCTAGTTTACTCTCTTTGTTAGAGCAGAAGCAACATTCTCTTTTGGTCTACTGCTAACTAAAAGGAAGTAAAATTCTCAAGCTGGTTTTCAAAATGCATGCATAAATGCATGCTATATCATATTCTTCCACATGCATGGTTTACAAATGTCTCAATTAAAAAATAGATTCATGTATAGGTGATTTTTTATGCACCTATGAAATCTGGCCTTGTAATGAAGAATACAATAGATCTTAATAATCTGACAATTATTAAGTGTGTTTCATTGTCTAAAAGAGAGGTTTGAGGGGAGAAAAAGAAAAGTCTTTCTTGAAATATGGAAATAAGAGTATATATTTAGCTCTGAGTATGTTCTGGTAAGAATTACAATGACGTCAAACTATATGTACATATTAAAGCCATGGCAAAAAACGAAAGAAAGAAAGGAAAGAAAGAAAGAAAGAAAGAAAGAAAGAAAGAAAGAAAGAAAGAAAGAAAGAAAGAAAGAAAGAAAGAAAGAAAGAAAGAAAGAAAGAAAGAAAGAAAGAAAGAAAGAAAGAAAGGAAAAGAAAAGAAAGAAAGGAAAGAAAAGAAAGAAAAGAAAGAAAAGAAAGAAAGAAAGGAAAAGAAAAGAAAAGAAAAAAGAAAGAAAGAAAGAGAAAAGAAAAATTAAAGAGTTTTTATGTGGGCTTCTACTTGATTTTATTTTTTCCTAATACAAAAAAGTTTTCGTCAAGGCTTTCAAGGAGCCAAGGTTTCCCATCATATCAAGAATCTAATCTTCCACAGCATTATCAGTGAGGTCTGACTCAGCTTGCTCTTCCCAAGAATCAGAATCAGAGTGATCAGAAAGGCAGAAGGCTCCTACTATCTGCAAAAGCACCATGCCCAGCAGGCTGTTTACCATAAAGTGAATCAAATCTGCTATAAAAGCTGAAAAACAGTACATGATAAAAAGAAAATAAGAAAGATTACGACTCCAAAATCATTTATTTCCCAATTGAATGTTAATAAACCAAGGACTCCATCAGAATCATAATATTCACATAATTAATTCTACACTTTATCCAAAGGAAAAATGGCTGAGAAAAATTAGCTATTGTGAACCACCCCCACCTCCAAAAATTATCAGGCAGATAGCAAACCAAAGGGTTGAGTACTGATCAGTGTCCAAAAGGAAACGTACTTTTTTTCTAGTTTGGCATTAGCACAAGTTAATGGTGTGGTGTGAACATAAGTATAAAAATATTAAGCAGTATTAAACACAGCTGTTAAATTCTGGAGCTGGCTAACCTGATGAAAAGTCAGTTAAAGGAAGCTTCCAATGCCCAAGCCAGTCAATGCAGTTAATCTGTAAAATCAAGCCATTTCCAATCATGAATTTTCTAATTTGTACAATCAAGCCATTTCCAATCATGAATACTCTAATCATGAATTCTCCTAATATCACCCGCAGCAAAAGCAGTGTGGATTAGGCATTCAAATCTAAACATCAAGGGGCAGATAAAATCTACAACCACCTAAATTATTGCTCCTATCCCACTCTCAGGTGGAAAGAAGGAAATCTTTCTTCAGCTCTAGAGCATTAAGGAGTAGGATTTGGAGCTTTGTGACTGTTCTTTGCCTATTCCCGTCCCATTGGAATAGGCCCTCAATCTGGCCATGTTATCAGTGGGTGGCTGCTATTTTCCCCACGGTCTCAGGGTGGAAGATAAGGTTTTCATGGAGTTACCCAGAAACGGAGCAAGTAGGGCGTAAAGGGTGGCACAAAAGAGGAATAGAAGACAGAATGAGTCCACATAGCTTTACATATTTGGAAATGAAAAATCCAGGAACGTAATGACTCCTGTGACTCTGAATGGCTCTGTGTATTAGTCTTTCAGTTTTCAAAGGGAGTAAATTATATGTGTGAACTGAAACTATATATCTTCTCCCAGTTCTCAGAATTGATCATTTATTTTACATCGCTCTTCAGTCTCTATACCAGTATTTTAGAAGTTGTCATAAGTAATTCCTCTAAGTGCTACCTCGCTGGAGTGGTACTGGAGCAGCAAAGTAGCAAAAGAATACTAGCTGGGAGCACAAAATTAATTTTTACAAATTTCTCAGTGGCACGTTATTTCTACCAGTCATATAATCAGTAGACTATATAGAAACAGAGGTACTCTAGGGTACCGTACTTGTGCTCTGAATAGCTGCTAGACATGCAGTGCACGGTGCGATGTGTGGTATCTCAACAATGCTTTTCAGAACAAGACTGTAACCTTAAGGTCATGATCAGAAATCACACATTTGAATAATCCATGAATGAAGACGGTGTGTGCGATTAAAAAATACAGTGCTTTCTAGTTAAAATGGGAGATAAGTGAAGGTAATGAAATGTGCATCATTTAAATAACAAAAGTATTGTGGCTATTAGAGATTCACTGTGCTGTTACTCTAATGGTATTAAGAGTTTGGAAGTACAGGCCGGGCGCTGTGGCTCACGCCTGTAATCCCAGCACTTTGGGAGGCTGACGCGGGCAGATCACGAGGTCAGGAGATCGAGACCATCCTGGCTAACACGGTGAAACCCCATCTCTACCAAAAAATACAAAAAATTAGCCGGGCATGGTGGCGGGCGCCTGTAGTCCCAGCTACTCGGGAGGCTGAGGCAGGAGAATGGCGTGAACCCGGGAGGCGGAGCTTGCAGTGAGCCGAGATCGCGCCACTGCACTCCAGCCTGGGCGACAGAGCGAGACTCCCGTCTCAAAAACAACAACAAAAAAAGAGTTTGGAAGTACAGAGTAGTATTCCAGCTCTTGGAGCCTAGCCGCAGGTTTCACAGATGCATCTCCATGCAGAAATGGCTGAAGCTTCCACAGCTAATCTGAACTTTTTAAGGGTTTACATGGCTGGGAATATAATTTTGTATGTATGTCCTTATGTATATACGCGTGTGTGTCCACTAGTTTTTTGCTTGAATGTTTATCATTTCTGTCACTTGCAATTTAAATATTCCTAATAAATAGAAAAATCCAAAGACTAAGATTGTGATCCTTTTTATGTCTATGGTATATTATGAATACAGAGACCTTGTGCTTTTATTGGCGTAGGAATCATCTTGCCCTAATATTAATGTTATGAAATCAAAAGGGTAAGATTCCTAACATCCCACATAACACAGCAGACAAACTAAAGTTTTAATCTAGCTTTGGCCCTTACAAATTTTGTGCCCTACGGCAAGTTACATCTCGCTTAGATTTTTTCATTTTAAAGTGGAACTATCTGCATGGATGTTCGTACATGCTATATAACACATCCTATTCCAGAGCCACCTACCATCAGTTGAGCTCTAAATGGTAAATGCCACAGTGAGAAGCAGACAGGAAGGGGCGGAGCGCCAGCGGCGCCCGGGGCTACGCGCCGCACTGCACCGAGCGGCGGCAGCGGCAAGCTTGGGTGTGAGCCCAGGGGCCGCTTTGCTTACCGTCCTGCCGGTCCCAGCCGTCGCTAGGAGGTCCGCGGGCCCTGCGGCAACCCTCGCTACAGACGCTGGGCGGGCGGCGACACCTGGCTCATGGCCCCCGCGGCGGCTCCGTCCTCCTTGGCCGTCAGGGCCTCAAGCCCCGCCGCGACACCCACCTCGTACGGCGTCTTCTGCAAGGGGCTCTCCCGCACCCTGCTCGCCTTCTTCGAGCTGGCCTGGCAGCTGCGCATGAACTTCCCGTACTTCTACGTCGCGGGCTCGGTGATCCTCAACATCCGATTGCAGGTACATATTTAGAGCCATGACTAAGCTAACGGCCTCCGGGGCCAGCATGATGGCCGACTCCCAGGGTCCGTTGCGGCGCGGCGGAGCAGCCAATGGCGAGCCCCACAGTCTCGCGAGAGTGCTCAGGCGCTCTTCGTGGCTGCCCTCTTAGCTGCTAGCGGAGCTCCTCAGGGGGCGGCCGGGAGCCTACAATCCCTAGAAAGAAAATACGCCGTTCCGGAAACAGAACTGCAGTTAAGACCCTCGAAAAGATCTAAGAAAGTGTGCATCCTAAAACACCTGACGAATTTCAGAATGTGACAAAGCGCAGAGGATGCATTATTTCAAAACAAAACAGAAGGCTAAAATTTGCAGGAAAAAGAAAATCAGTAAACCGGGAATCCTCGGACTGGATTGTAAGCAAGATTTGAATGAATAAGAAGCTGAAGGTATTAAGGCTGTGATATAGAAGGTACATATTTCATCCCACAAGAGAAAACAATAATAATCAGAAATTTTCGGTGAAAAAAACGCAAAACTGTACAGGAAAATCATCCTCCAAGTACCAGACATAAAATGCTGCAAGCTTTTGAACTAATGGCGAGAGTGTAAGAAAATGGACTCTACTTCAGTGATCCTGTGGCAGGACGTGGATCAAGACTTGGAACCGCAGAAAACGAAATCCCATAGTAGCACAAAGCTTGGCTGTTCAGTGAATAACATTTAAATAATCGTAAAATACAAATGTTGTTTATGGTTTTTATTGTTTAAGGGCATACTTAATTATGGTTACAAAGTGGAGTGCAAATGTTATTTACCATGTTTTAAAAATACAGCCGGAAAATACAAGTGGGAATGTTGAAGGAGGGCAGGGGAAGTAAATGGAATGGGGGTTATGTCCTTATAAAGTGGAAACTTGAAAGGTACTGTCTGTTGTTGAGTGGGGAAAGACATTTTTATTACTTACAGGGTAGCCATAAAGTTTCTAAAACGGTAATATATTAAAGAGGGAGAGTGGTAGGGGAGAACAGTATGAAGTCAACAGGAAATGGCTAAAGATGGAGAGCTCAGGTAGAATAGTTTAAAAAATGAAAATTGATAGAGTACCTGGTGTATTTGAATACAGCCTAGAGAGCTTTCATTTTCCAAAGAGTGTGGGGATAAATTAGTGAATGCATATTTTTCAAAATTAAGAAAACAGAACATATAATTTTGAACGCTGAGAAAAATAAAAATTTAAAAACTACACTGTATACACGGTATACCTCAACTGTGAATAATAGTAGTCATGTAAAGTCAGTCATAATTATGTAAATACTGAATACTGATTTTACAACAAATGATTCTATAACGCTGGGAGGATGGGAGAAAAGAGATGTGTGTGTGTGTAATGGTGGTGAGCCAATCAAGATCTGATATAGAAAAATGCAGAAAAAGGAGTATACACATGTTTTCTTCGGATTAAAAAAACTAATAATAAATCACCAAGAGTGGTAAAGTTTTAAATCAAGATCTGATATAGAAAAGTGCAGAAAAAGTAGTATACGCATTTTTTTTTTCAGGAAAAAATTAACTAATAAACCACTAAGAGGGGTAAAGTGTTAAAATAGTTGCATTGTTCTATATTCCACTCATTGTGTCCAGCAAACAGTGTTCTATGGCTTTAAATAGTAAGCATCTTGCCCCGTCCAACACCATGTCTGGCCTAGGGTAATTGTTCTTTCTAGTCTTTATTCTTTGTCTCCAGCCAAACTCCATTTGGGCACATTCTCCTATAGCCTTTTCTACCTGAAGATACTCTGTGTTTTAAAGCTAAGCTTAGGTGGCGCTTTTTCCATTAAATTTTTCCTGGATTCCACTGACCATATAGGAGCTCACTTCTTTTAATCCATAAGGCCATTTTCATAGGTTGCCTTATTTTTCCCTAATCGTGCATCAACTATCTGTTTTATATACCCAAGACAGGTTTCCTAGACTGCGATAAGCCAAAACATTTTAGTCTAAAATATCAGAAGTGTAGTTTAATCAATGAAATAGTAATACCAAGGGATTTAGAATCGTGGACATCACTGTTTCCCAGAGCACTGATGTCCCAATTTGTAACACAAAAGACTGTCTAGTCTTAATCCTGAAATGGTGACAGAGTAGGATGCTCCATTTGGGTGACTATGTGAACATATTCCTACAACTTTTTTCCTCACATCAGTCATTTGTTAAATCGAAGATGAAGAAACAGACTTTGTATTTATTACATCCTCCAACATAATTGGCAGCTCTGTGAGGGAAGACACTATATCCTATTCAATTTTACACCCGGTAGTAACAGTATGTGTGTGTACTGTATATATACATATATATATACATACACATATATAAATTTAAGTAGTAACTATATATGTATATATGTATAGTTACTACTTACTATATATGTATACAGTATATAAGTATATATGTATAGTTACTACTTACAATATATGCATAAAGTTACAGCTTACATTTACCTCGTAATATATGTATATATATATATATTAGGAGTTAAATGTATTAGGAGGTAAATGTAAACTCTGTGGTTTATCATTTATTCACAATTGCTCTTAATTCTTGGGGTATAGTTTGCCTCCTACATGATGCAATTCAGTGAAATTCCCAGGAGACAAAACAAGATTTTGACCTGAATAAACCACTTATTGTTGTAATTCACAAGTGAGTTTATTTTTCCTGGCACACTTCCAGGTAATATCCATTAGGCTAAGGATTTTGTTTGTTCACTGTTCTATCCCCAAGCCTAGAGCATTGCCCAGTGCGGAATAGCTAATAAATATTGTTGAATGGATAGATGAATGGCAATTTTGTTGGTATGCTCTACATAGTCAGCAGTCAATAAAGGAAACATATATTCGTTCCTGATAATAAGATGATTCACTTTATTGCCCATAAATTGGGCTTTTTCAGGCCATCATGCACGTTGATTGATCCAGAGATCCCTCAAGCATGAAAAAGCAGAGACATAGGTGGTATAGTTATTATCAATAGAGATAAGAAATGTAGCTGGCAAAAAAAAAAATGGGAAACGATGCGTTACAGCTTATTTTAACTATAAAAGGAAAACAGTGAACATAGCAACATATGTAACCTAAGGGATAGGGGAAAAGTTGTTTTTTTTTTTAAATTCTGGGTAAAAATATGTGTGATTACTTGACAAATAGCATATCATTACCATCAGCATCATTTTTAAAATATATTGAGTTTTTAATACCAGGAACTATGAAAAACTATTTATATACATGAGCTCCGTAATTCTCACATATACCCTGTGAGGAAAACATTTTTATCATTTTTCAGAGAAGCAAACCGGGATTTAGAGAGGTTAAGTAAATTCCTAAGGTCATGATAACCAACCAGACCTCAAATGAATCTCCAGTAATTCCTAAAGTTATATTTCATAAGGAGTTCAATTTTCTTAAATGTGTAGATAATTACAAATAATTCTGTTTCTCAAATTTCTGGACAGAAATATTACCTGGGTAATAGTTATTTTTTTTAACATAACTATTGAGGGTCTTTCATACTAAAATATAAATATTTAACATGATTTGATATGTAAGTTCAAGTATTTTATACTCTGCAGCCTTAAACCTATTGGCTTATTTTATTAGAGGGTTGGTGGGATTGAGGGATATGGGAGCAAAGGGAGAGAGAGGAAAGAACGTTGTCCTCAGAATGGAAGGGAAACACTTTCCTGTGCTACCCAGAGTAGAGATCAGACAATGTTAAATTTTGAAGCCATGTCTGTTCCTGTCCTGAGGATCCCTAACTAAATTGTGTTAGAAAATCTTGCAGTTTGCTTTTAATGGGAGATGTTTCTGGCAGGACATCAATAGCTTTTGATAGCGTCAAGAAGAAAATAAAGTTACATGCAGAAGCATAAAGGGGTAGGATGAAAGTTGAGGAATATAGGGACAAAAGATGAGGGAAAGGAATATCCTAATACTTGGAAGTTTGAGCATGGAAAGTAGTCTAAAGACGACTTGGGAAGTTCCAAGAAAATGAACCAAGAAAAGAACCTCTGCAAGAACTATGAGAATTCCCAACAATTGGGTTGGATTGATTCATATTAGTCTATTACTTGGGTTACCTTGAGTGTGGGGATTCTTCTTGCAGTTTTAACACTTGTACTATGGTCTGAATGTGCCCCCCAAAAATTCACATGTTGGCATTTAACCCCCAAAGTGATGATCTCAGGAGATGGGACCTTTGGGAGGTGATCAGGTCATAAAGATGAAACCCTCGTGAATGGGATTAGTGCCTTTATAAAGGAGACCCCAAAATAATTCCCTTACCCCTTTTGCCATGTAAGGTTATAGGGAAAAGTCATCTATGAACAAGGAAATGAACCCTCACCAGATACCAAATTTGTGAATGCCTGGATCTTGGACTTCCCAGCTTCTAGAACTATAAGAAATAAATTTCTGTTGTTCATAAGCACCCATTTTATGGTATTTTTTATAGCAGCCTGAACAAACTAGACTTAATAGGATTTGCTCAGCAGGATTACCACCAGGTCAAGTCATGAGATCTTTTCAAAATATAAGTAAACCTCCCCTTACCCCTACTCTCCACAAATACAAATTTCAGCAATGCTCTTGGAACAACTAAAAGGCCCAAGGACCTTCCCAAAAGCCTACTACAAATGAAGAAACTATGGAAGTCTTAGTAGCTTAATTGCAGGACATCCCTGCCAGTTTCTATCCTGATTAGGGATCTGCAATGAACATTACAAAATCTTCACCATCTCCATGGCTTTCAACACCAAGCATATGGACTTAGCCACTGTAAAATAGTGGCATGCATCAATGAACAATAAAGAGAAATGGAGATCATTCATATTATTAGTGAGGGAAGTTGGGTACAACTTTTCATCAACCAAAAAGAGGGAGAAAAAAATCACACCACCAAATAATGAAATACTGTAACTAGAATGTCTTGGCTCTAAGATCATTGGCAGAGAATTAGAGATTATGTTCAGCAGATTAAAAAAAAAAAGAAAACAGCTGTGATCATGCCACTGCACTCCAGCCAGGGCTGCAGAGCAAGACCCTGTCTCAAAAAAACAAAAAGCCAAAAATACGAGATGTTTAAAAAAAGAACTGTTGTTCAAGAGATCATTTTCACTTTTTAATTGGTTTTTGAAAACTGTGAAAGTATCTCAAACTGAAGTCTAAAAGGAAAATAATAGAAGCTTCAAAGTTCAGGGGCCAGGTTATATCTATATAAAAGGGAAGCTAACTTATTTCCAGAACTGATTCATTTATTAAACATGGGGCTAAGGAATAGAGGTGGCAATATACAAGTCAGGATAATGCCTTTGTCTTCTGAAGCTGCATCTACATTGGTGCCCCTCAAAATAGCTAAAATTGAAAATAGTTTATCTGTCACCTGGGATTTCTTCTACAAATAACCTTCCCAAAAAAATATTGCCTAACATTTTTCTGAATTTATCAAGCCAACCATCTGATCAATTTTCTAAATGAAGATTTATTCTTGGCAATAATCTAGCTCAGGGCCTAGGTCTTGTACACAGCATTAAGCAATGTAACAGATGAGTGCACTGGAAGTATGGATTTGCAGATGGCCTCCTTGTTTCTGTATTTTAATTAAGGAAGTCTCTAGCTCAAAGGACATGAGATTAAGGGCAGCAGCAAACCATGTGAACTATCAGAGATTCAACAGAGACAATCACGCCCTCTGAAATATGTATTGATCCATGCATATTTTCACTAGGATGTTTTCTTTGAGTAAAGCTAAGGACAACATGGCTTGCGCACCCAAAATATCTTCTCATCTTAAGTTCTAGGCCTAAGGCAGGGCTCAGGCATCAGCCGTTTTTGGCATTAGAAACAGGTTATTCAGGTTATTGGCAACTCTTCTATAAATCAACTGTGTGACCAAACTGGGTTGGCGGGGGGGGGGGGGGGGCAGGGGCGGGAAACTCAAAAACTCTCATGACATCAAGACTATAAACTTACTTTAGGGGAAAGCAATTGGCAAAAAAAAAAAAAAAAAATGTCGATCATTTTCTTTTCCCAATTATTTGTTCCCAGGATAGGATACAGTTCTCTCCAGATTGCCTGAAACTAGCTTTGGATGTAAGAGTCGTGGTTTTCTTGGATCGTGGCTTGCATCTCCAACCCAAGCTTTCATTATGGAAAATGATGGTGCAGAGCTTAATCTCAAAATGCCATTGTAATAGGGAGACTGCAATACAGTGGTAGCAACAGTCCCACACTTTCTCCCAGCCTTCATCATTTAATAGTCATTTTCTGTGCTTTTATTATCTGGAATAGGTCTCTGCTCCATATGGCTTCATCTCTGCAAGGATAGTACGTGAGATGTGAAGACTTAATCCTAATGAGACATTTACTTCTAAGTCCCACTCACTAGAAGCAAGGGTTGTGTATGGTTGTTTAAATCTTTTGAATCTTGATCATTAAAGAAAAGTTTAGTCTGGACGCAGTGGCTCACCCCTATAATCTCAGCACTTTGGGAGGCCAAGGCGGGCAGGTCACCTGAGGTCGGGAGTTCAAGACCAGCCTGACCAAAATGGAGAAACCCTGTCTCTACTAAAAATACAAAAAAATTAGCCAGGCATGCTGGCGCATGCCTATAATCCCAGCTACTTGGGAGGCTAAGGCAGGAGAATTGCTTGAACCCAGGAAGCAGAGGTTGCAGTGAGCCAAGATTGCGCCATTGCACTCCAGCCTGGGCAACAAGAGCAAAACTCCATCCCAAAAAGTAAAGAAGGGAAGGGAAGGGGAGGGAAGGGAAGGGGGAGGGGAGAGGGAGGGGAGGGAGTGGGGATGGGGAGGGTCAAGGGAAGGGGTGGGAGGAGAGGGGAGGGAAGGGAATTTAACTTATTTACTGAAAGGAGTAATTCCAAACCATATTATCCTCACTATCTGAACCTAAATATAGCCAGTGTGATTTTAATGTTGCCCTTTCTAAAGCAAGATAATGCCCATGATAATCATTAGGAAATTTATTATACAGTATCTAACAATGAATGGAGTTTTAAAAATCTAAATGTCTGTATAGGCCTGGACTGGCCTTAAGATTATATATTATATACATTTTCAGTTACTTTATTTTTTTGTAAAAGTCAACCTAGAACTATACACAAATACAAACATGCCTAAAATTTATGCAAATATGTGACATTCTCTTATAAATTTTCCTTTATGTTCTTATTCTTAGTGAGTTAGTTGGTTGTGTTAGTTTTCTCTGGTGTGACACACTAGTATTCATGGTATGACAAAAATATGTCATTACACATGTGCACACACACAGAGATCCTGTGTCAAAGTGTGGTTTTGATCCAAAAAAGTAAAAATATAAGCATCATTATGGACATAGGGATAAGTATTCAACTTCTTTTTAGAAATTCAATTGATTTTGCACTTATCCTACAAAGGTAGGATAGCTTGAATTCCTAGCTGGAGTCCTAATGAGAGAATGCTATTTTGTTTTAAAAGTTACCTCTATTGCTATGAGATTATATGCTTTCAATATTTTTAGTTCTTAATGTATTTGACTTAGTGTTATAAAAATATGCCACCTACTCCAGATTGGAGTAGGTATTAGGTTCTAATGGCATTTAGAACCATTTCCAAATATTACTGTTTTTTTTCCTCACATGTGAATGTAATCACACATTTGCCAGCACATATAAAATAAATACATGTTGCATTATATATTTTACATTTATATTAAGTCTCAAATATTTCCTAGTTACTAGCAAATATTAAAATGACAATGATACTTACTTTTTAAAAAAAATCCGGTATTACATTGGCTGACTTTATGAGTAAATCGTTCATTTATAGGCCATTCTAGGGAAATTTTGTGATGCTTAATTACACCTTAAAATAATCTGGGTGAAAAACACATGCTAAAATACATCTTCAATGTGTTCTCATTAATTCCCCTGGAATACAGAAAAATCCAGAAAAGTCTACAAAACTAAAGTTTCACTCTTTTTAGGTGGCACTTAAGATGCCACAGTGGTCCCACAGCAGTCTGTCTCAGCTTGCAGTTTTCCAAAATTAGGACAAATGAGTGGCTTGAAGGAAAAATAATTGACGTTAACAAGACAAAAAAATTGGCCTGCTATTTCTGCTGTATAAGGAAAATCCAACCTGTTGGTAGGAGAGAAGAAAAGTGAACCAAAAAGAAGAGGAGAAAAGACACCATCATTTTCATTTTCATTTTCATGGCCCTCTTATGGGCCTTCATTCTGAGGTCCCTCGGGCCCATGGTGTTGAGCTGCAAATTCCTGATATGTCTCATCAAGGACAGAATTAAAAGGAGCAGTGAGATCAGGGACAGAAGAAAGGAAATTAAGTAGATCAAACTGACAAGAATCCAGAGGCTACAATATAGAATTTTACTTACATCTAAAGACCAAGTTGAGTTTCTTTCATAAATTGTGTAGATGTTAATCCACAAGTCACTAAGTCCACCTGTTAATGCAAGGTTGAAAAACAGTAAGAGCAAGGACCCCAGTGGGAGTTCAAGTAGCGTTCTGCTAATTCTCCATCTCAGCCAGATGAAGCATGGGTGGGAAAAATAGGTATTTTAAAGAAGTAGAAAACACTAAGGCAGCAAGCCAGGTAACTAAGTGATTGGTCAGTGCCCAAAAAATATGAATAAATTTTATTAGTTTATTGAAGGCATATAGATGTGGCCATAATGCTGTTACAAATGAATCAAGTAGTATTATCCAAAGTTGACTGATTGTGGAGATAGCCAGGCTGGTGAGGATGCAGTTGTCTAATAAGATCATTTGACTCCTCACCAGTCAATGCAGTTAACTAGTACAATGAACCCATTCCCTAACATTCAGATTATGAATTCTCCCATCATTACTATCAGAAAGGTATTTCCAATTCCAGGTGGCATTTCTGGAGAAACAAATCCAGAAAGCTAATACTATGTTTCACTGATACTTTTGCTGTCAAAACGTTGCAGAATAATATCCAACTTGATGATTTTCAGATTTATATTTAAAATGTTCAGAGTAACTCAGAATGATCTTCTGTTTGATGCCACCTCACTTATCTTCACAAAAGATCTTTCTGTTTTTTTTTATATTCATCTCACTAGTAGGCCTGAAATATGTGCAAGAAGATCCAGTCTCACATATCTTAATTTAAAAAAAACTTTAACATTATTTTTAATCAGCTACTGACTTACAAATTAAATAGTAAATGTAGTAAATGTGCCCACTCATCATTGGCACTGAGAGCAATTTCCCACTTGTGAGGACATCTAGAAGGGCAAAGTCAGGTATGCAAATATCAAACAGATTTCTTTACACTGATTTGTAATTTTCTCCTCAACTGAAAGTCAATACCATTTGGATTTGAATATCTTAATTTTAAAAGAATTATCTAAAAATAACCTCTACAATATATGTATTACTCATTAGTTTCATTAAATAAACTCCATAATTTTCCAATTCTACTTTAGAGGAATTAAGTGTAATAAAAAGAAGCATCAAAAAGCTCACAGAGTAGTGAAAAGAAGCAACATTAAATGTGCTTTTACTACTGAATGTAACCACAGTTTGATCAAAATGCAATTACAACACAGAGGAGGGTGTTATAAAATCTATGGCCAATAACTAATTCTAGTTTCATGAAGATAATGACAGTTGGCTTGGGTCTTGAAGCTTTTAGGATTTCTTAAAGAAATAGACAAAAAGGGAGATGATTTTACATAATTATGTAAAAGCATATGTAAAGAAACAAAAAGTATTCCTTTATCTGAGCTATTTTACTGAACTTTTGAGCTTGGTTTCCAATGCCTTCCTGGCTATTTGATTTTGAATAAGCTCTTATCAACTGAAATGAAAAAAAAATAGTAAAAAAGGATGGAAAAATAGCAAAAAAACATAAGAGGGAGAATAGGAGGGAGATTCTCCTTTTCATTAATTCTTCCTTTGGTAAAATTCTTTGTCTCATAAAAATGTATCCACAGTAAAATACATTTTATAATTTATTTGTATTATTTTGTAACTCTAATACAATGTTTTTCAAACTTGACTGCACATTGGAGTTAACTTGGGAGATTTAAAAAAACATATTGATGCCTGTGGGCCACTCCCAGGGATTTTTTTTACCTAATTGGTCTGGAGTACATTGCTGGCACTCACTGAGAGGCTCTTGATGTATGTCTTACAGTGACTCCCAAACCCAGGCAAAAATATTTCTACCCAAAAGCTGCAAATCTATGATTCTGCAAGGACAGGACAGGATTTTGCCTGCCTTGTTCTCTAACAATGTGTTTCTCATTCAGCCAATTTTGACGCTGACTGGCAAACTGGCCACCAACTCTCTTAACAACCACATAAGCGACTTTTTTGTTGTTGTTCATTAGTCTGTTTCCAATTCACAGAACATAAAGGGCATGGATAATAGCAGGTCTTCCATAACTATTTGTTAAATGAATTAGTGCTAACTTAGTTGGCAGTCCCACTAGCAGCACACAAAAGGAGAAAATGAATTAGGCTTGACTGTGAAACAAGTATCAGAGCAAGAAAAGAAAGTACCTCCTTACAGAAAATGTTACATTCATGTATGAGCTTATGAAAGATTTCTGTTCTAATCCTGAAAAACCCAACACTGCTCTGTAATCTTTCTAGTTCAATCAAGAAATCATACAGAATCAAAAGGAACATGGTCTGCCACCCAAGATGGGGGAGGCTTGGTACTTTTCTTCATGAAAAGGAACTACTTCTGTTGAAGATGGCTAGAAAACTAGATTTCATGACCCAAGAAGCAAGATAGCCCTAGAGATCACTAATGTTTTCAGAAATGCTCTGCAAGTCATGTAAAGGCTAATTGAGAAGAAGATTCCATTGATAGGCATGGTTTAGCTGTGAAAAACACCGAAAACAAGTCAGTCAGGAGATAGTGATTAAAGAACATCTAAGTTTGTAGTTACGCTGAAGAAACTAAAAATAAAAGATGCAATAACAAGTATAAAAACCACAAGTCCCATATACTATGAGTTGTATTCAAAGTCCAAGTTAATAATCACAATTTTTTAAATCTACATAATTAATCTATGTCCTACTCTAGACAAAATATCATCCAGTGTCTAGAATGAAAGCAAAATGACTGTGCAAATATACAAACACCCCCTAAAATAACTATTGGGTAATAGGCTTAATACCTGGGTGATGAAATAATCTGTACAACAAACTCCCATGACATGAGTTTACTTGTGTAACAAACCTGCACATTTACCCCTGAAACTAAAAGTTTTTTTGTAAAAAAAAAAAAACACCCCTTAAAGCATGATCTGGCTCAGAGAAGATGCTGTCTAATGAAGATTTTGCTAGAAAAAGCCACCTACTAAGACATAGCAGATAAACCACCCAAGACAGTGAGGAAATTGGTGCTCCTTTTTCTTGGAAATCAGTATTGGTATGGGTTTCTACCTGATGTTACATTCAGTACAGTTTAAGAAAACATGCCTTGATATACTTGATTTGTGTCTTATTTGCCTTCAGAACTAGAGCTATGGGTTGGAGATAAGCCAATTTCAGCAGTAGAAACAGGTTATTTGTTCCTGTCCTATAAATTACCTGACTGTATGCATTGAAATAACCACAATGATTACACCCAGTATCTTGAAATGAGCATTTATTTGACAAGTGAGATGAGTGGGAGTCTATAAAAATGAGTGATAATTTCCCTCTTTCCCCAACAGCTGGGTCCCAGGGTAGGTCATAATCCCATCAGTCTTGTTGATGGGATGTTGCATGTTGCATGTGTCAGTGCATGTGTTGGGCATGGCTCTTGGATTGTGGCTTGGTGGCTGCTAAATTCCCACAAAGGCCTTGTTTGGGAGAAAGTGGAGGTGCAGAGCTTGCTCTCATTTGCCATTCAAATATGCAGATTACTGGCCAGGCACGGTGGCTCATGCCTGTAATCCCAATACTTTGGGAGGCCAAGGTGGGTGGATCACCTGAGGTCAGGAGTTCGAGACCAGCCTGGCTAACATGGTGAAACCCCATCTCTACTAAAAATACAAAAATTAGCCAGGCGTGGTGGCATACACCACCTGTAATCCCAGCTACTCAGGAAGCTGAAGCAGGAGAAGCACTTGAACCCGGGAGGTGGAGGTTGCCATGAGCCGAGATCGCCCCACTGTACTCCAGCCTGGACGACAGAGCAAGACTCTGTGTCAAAAAAAAAAACAAAAAACAAAAACGGATTACAATACATCAATTGCAATAACCAGAATATGTCCCGGGCTGCTCTTACTACTTTTTTGTTTTGCTTCTATTGTGAAGAATGGGGTCCTGTTCCTTGTAGTCCCATCTCCCTGGGGTTGCTGCCTACTAAGTGTTAGACATGTATTACTCTTAATTAGACATGTATTAATTTACCACTAAGGTTGCTTATGAGTTGGATCAACTGCTTATCAAAGAAAAGTTTACTGACACAAAAATATAAATAGTATTTTGTGTTTTAAAGAATACAAGGTTAAGTCATTTATATAAAAGAATATCTTTAAAATAAACTCAGTATCTAAGTCTAAAATATATTCAGCTTGATTTGCACATTACCTTTTATCAAGGCAAGAAAATTATAATTATAATCTTTGACAAAATACTAAATTAGTGATCAAAATAATATATGTACATTTTATTTTGTAAAATGCAAATTACTAAAAAAAGATGTTGTATTATCATTAAAACAATCATCAACATCATTGTTATTGATACATGATACCATATAGCCCAGATGTACTTACAATTTCATTTTATGCATATGGGGAGGGGGAAGTACTAATAATTCTAACATCATTTCCGGCTCCAGGGCACAGCTGTGGAGTCATGCCCTCAACTATAGCTTCATCAAGATTAATTTACAAGCATGTATTTATCAGTATTTAATAGCACATTTTTGTTTCTGTAATCTAGCACAATATAAAGAACATATCAAAAGTAAATTCTAAAAGGAATTCTTTGTTATTAAAAAGTTTCACTATACAGCTTCTGTACAGTGTTTTAATCTATGCCATCATATTCAAAATTTTTAGTAAATTTTCCCACCCTTAGCCTTATTTACAATCTGTAGTTTGTTACCTTATCTAATCTTAGATTATCACAGTCAAAGCAGCACTATGTATACATATGCTTGTCTAAAATTTACAATAAGCCTGCAACATTCTATAAACAACATCACTTTGCTTTCTGTGCCTTGCTGGTTAACATTGTTTCTATTTTTTCCTCTAAGAAATACAGTGATCAGATTGCAACAAAATGCATGTCACATAAACAAACACAAACACAAACATCCTCAGAATGTAATTATGATCTTTTTGTAGTAGCAATATGAGTATAATTGTGAATTAAGACATAAACTTCTATAATTTTAGTTCTATTACATAACATGGTAGAAACATTGGTTTCTGCCTCTCTGAAAATGCATATTGCATGTCCTAGAATTTAGCAAAATTAGCATGTGCCTAGAAACATCAAAATGTTTATTATTTGGGGTTTTAAATTGACATCAGCATTAAATCATGTGTTTCCAGTTTCCATTTAAAGATAATTTATTTTATTTCACACTACAAATCTTCTCCTTTTCTCACATAATCGTCGTATTTCCTTGTTATCAACAAGACTTCTAATAACAAAAAAAAACCACTTTTTTTCATTTAAAAAAAATGCTTGGGGCTGGGCACAGTGTCTCATGCCTGTAATCCCAGCACTTTGGGAGGCCAAGGCGGGTGGATCACCTGAGGTCAGGAGTTCGAGAACAGCCTGACCAATATGGTGAAACCCCATCTCTATTAAAAATACAAAAATTAGCCATGTGTGGTGGTGTGTGCCTGTAGTCCCAGCTACTCGGGAGACTGAGATAGGAGAGTTGTTTGAACCCAGGAGGTGGAGGTGGCAGTGAGCCAAGATCACACCACTGCACTCCAGCCTGGGCGACAGAGTGAGATGCCATTAAAAAAAAAAAAAAAAAAAAAAAAGTTTAGCTTTGAAGCTATGAGGCTATATTTTTCCTGCTGTGACTTTAGTTTTTAATTAGATTTTCTATCCACATTGTATATATCTTTTACCCATTCAAGTTTGTAATCTATCTTGCTTTTAAAGACACACACCTTTTTCTCCACAAGTTGCAATTACCTATCGTTTGCATATAAAATTAAATAATTTAGATTTTTTGAAATAATATGTGAGGTTAAAATATTGCTTGCCAATGCTCCAAACAAAAATGATTACTTTTAAAATGGTATCGACCGGCAATGTGTGAATTACCATCAAAAGCAACCTGGTAGGATTTCATTTATGTTCCAAAATACTTAGAGAAACCCAGTAGAAAAAAAAAAAAAAAACAGTGGAAGTGATCCCCAAATGCTCCTTGTTGAGTTATTCTCTTAGAAAAGCTTCTGTAAAGTCTGTCTACAAAGGTAAAGGGTTTGGTGTTTTTGTATAGTTCCTAAGATGCCACAGTAGCCTCACAGCTGTCTGTTGCAGCTTGCTGTTTCCCAGAATGAGAATAAATGAGTGGCACGAGGGAAAGGCATTTAAGGCTAACATGACAAACTTTATGCACTTGTTGTTCCACAACATAAAAAATATCCAATTGGCCACTTGTAAGGAAAAAAAATGAACTATGAAGAGGAAAAGGAAAGACATCACCATTTTCATGGCCCTCCTATGGGCCTCTGTGCTGGAGTCTCTAGAGCCCAAGGAACTGAGCTTCAAATTTCTAGTATGTCTCACCAAGGACAGAAATAAAAAAAGCAAGGAGGTCAGGAACAGAGAAAAGGGGATAAAACTGGTCAAGCTGAGAAGAGTTTTTAAAATAGAGAGTTTATCATAGAGAGTTTTACTTTCATCTAAATATAAAGTCAGATTACTTTTATCTATTATATTGAGTGAGATATCAATAAATATTTCTAGCACTAAACTGTCAAAAATCAGTAAGAACAAAGACAATATAAGAAGCATAACAATCATTCCGTTCATCCTCCACCTCAGCCAGAGGAAAAGGGAGTGGGGGAAGTGGG